>NC_000012.12:28764296-28916991 GCF_000001405.40 Homo sapiens
CATTCTTATACACCAACAACAGACAAACAGAGAGCCAAATCATGAGTGAACTCCCATTCACAATTGCTTCAAAGAGAATAAAATACCTAGGAATCCAACTTCCAAGGGATGTGAAGGACCTCTTCAAGGAGAACTACAAACCACTGCTCAAGGAAATAAAAGAGGATACAAACAAATGGAAGAACATTCCATGCTCATGGGTAGGAAGAATCAATATCGTGAAAATGGCCATACTGCCCAAGGTAATTTACAGATTCAATGCCATCCCCATCAAGCTACCAATGCCTTTCTTCACAGAATTGGAAAAAACTACTTTAAAGTTCATATGGAACCAAAAAAGAGCCTGCATCGCCAAGTCAATCCTAAGCCAAAAGAACAAAGCTGGAGGCATCATGCTACCTGACTTCAAACTGGAACAGAACAGAGCCCTCAGAAATAACGCTGCATATCTACAACTATCTGATCTTTGACAAACCTGAGAAAAACAAGAAATGGGGAAAGGATTCCCTATTTAATAAATGGTGCTGGGAAAACTGGCTAGCCATATGTAGAAAGCTGAAACTGGATCCCTTCCTTACACCTTATATAAAAATCAATTCAAGATGGATTAAAGACTTAAACATTAGACCTAAAACCATAAAAACCCTAGAAGAAAACCTAGGCATTACCATTCAGGACATAGGCATGGGCAAGGACTTCATGTCTAAAACACCAAAAGCAATGGCAACAAAAGCCAAAATTGACAAATGGGGTCTAATTAAACTAAAGAGCTTCTGCACAGCGAAAGAAACTACCATCAGAGTGAACAGGCAACCTAAAAAATGGGAGAAAATTTTCGCAACCTACTAATCTGACAAAGGGCTAATATCCAGAATCTACAATGAACTCAAACAAATTTACAAGAAAAAATAAAACAACCCCGTCAAAAAGTGGGCAAATGACATGAACAGACACTTCTCAAAAGAAGACATTTATGCAGCCAAAAAACACATGAAAAAATGCTCATCATCACTGGCCATCACAGAAATGCAAATCAAAACCACAATCAGATACCATCTCACACCAGTTAGAATGGGAATCATTAAAAAGTCAGGAAACAACAGGTGCTGGAGAGGATGTAGAAATAGGAACACTTTTACACTGTTGGTGGGACTGTAAACTAGTTCAACCATTGTGGAAGTCAGTGTGGCGATTCCTCAGGGATCTAGAACTAGAAATACCATTTGACCCAACCATCCCATTACTGTGTATATACCCAAAGGACTCTAAATCATGCTGCTATAAAGACACATGCACACGTATGTTTATTGCGGCATTATTCACAATAGCAAAGACTTGGAACCAAGCCAAATGTCCAACAATGATAGACTGGATTAAGAAAATGTGGCACATATACACCACGGAATACTATGCAGCCATAAAAATGATGAGTTCATGTCCTTTGTAGGGACATGGATGAAATTGGAAATCATCATTCTCAGTAAACTATCGCAAGAACAAAAAACCAAACACCGCATATTCTCACTTATAGGTGGGAATTGAACAATGAGATCACATGGACACAGGAAGGGGAATATCACACTCTGCGAACTGTGGTGGGGTGGGGGGAGGGGGGAGGGATAGCACTGGGAGATATACCTAATGCTAGATGACGAGTTAGTGGGTGCAGCGCACCAGCATGGCACATGTATACATGTGTAACTAACCGGCAGAATGTGCACATGTACCCTAAAAGTTAAAGTATAATAAAAAAATAAATTTTCCATAAAAAAAAAAAGATTAAGTTGAATGGCCTGCAGATTCTCACCTGAAGTGGATTTTTGTGAGGAATTTGAATTTGAAATAGTGCAAAAGTTCATTTCACACTACCTGTTGAATGACTGTGGATTAGAGGAAACCTAGTTTTTCTTGGTTAGTGTATTGAACCAGCTATTTTTGAGGTATTTGTAGCTCAAAAAATTTTTTTTAGCTGAATCCAGAAAGCTTTAATTATTCCATCTATTCCTAGGGTGGTGTTATCTTATGTCTATTATGGATTTTGATGTTTTTCATACTAGGATTTAATTAGGCAACAGTGTGTAGAAGATTTGCTTCCTTTCCTTCTGCACAAGGGAAATTATATAACAGAAAAATTATTTTGTGTAAGAACAGATACTTTCTCATTTGTAGCATGGTAAGAAGTGTGGTTTCTAAATATCCAGATGGAGAATCAGGAATGGAGAATGGCACTTTGAATTTTCCAGATCATTTGGAACTGAAGCCTAATAGACCAGAAAGAGAAATTTTCATCATGATATGCCTAAGTTAATCTGATTCCTATTCAGGCCAGACCTAAAAGGGTTTTTATTGTATGTTGTCTGCCAGGAATAGCTATTAAACAGAGGCGGCAAAGTATAATACCAATTATACTATAAATCTAGTATAAATACCAATTTTGGTATTCCTTATGTAATTAGATATTTGGGGCTATTTTATTAGTGAAAGAAATGCCTGAAAATGCAGGTGCTTGATTTGTAATTGCAAATGGATAAATAAACGTTTCAGTAAGAAGAGCTGAGACAGTCTTGAAGCAGTCTAATTCATCTGTGAAATGTTTTTCTTGTTATGATTCCTTAGATAGATTTCCTCTATTATTTTTTAACTATAAGGATGAAAAAATTTTAAATATTTTTTAAAACCCAAACAGATAGATTTAATTTAAATTACTTGTATTGCAGGTGATGAGCTGTGCAAACTGTGAGAAGGAAGTACCAAAGGAGCCTTTGTTCAAGGCTGAAAACAACTTAGAGAGTGATTAAGGGCACTTGCTTCATATAATTTCCTCTTTGTGTCTCAATTCTTCAAGGAAAGAAAGGCTATTGGTCTGCTGGCTCAGTGTCCTTTATATCCATAAAATAAGAAACATTTCTTTTTAGCCATATTTATTTGACAACTACACTCAAATGGTGTTGCTTAATTGTCATTGGCAATGATAAATGAATGAATCCTGCCTTAGACCATTTGTCACAATCTCTATATGTATATGTTGCATCTCTCTAAATTGACTTTCAAAGATAGAAGCTACATTTTAGCATAATGTTCTCCAGAAATTGTAGTATATGAGGTGATGGGTATGTTAATTAGCTTGATTTAATCGTTTCACATTGTAAGCATTGTCATAACATCATATTGTACTCCATAAATATATGCAATTAATATTTGTTAATTACAATAAAGTTTTAAAAATAAGCTACATCTTCATCACTTTTGGCCTCTCTTGTATATTTAGCATACTACTGAGCCAAGAGCAGGTACTCAGAAATTATCAAGAAAGAAAGAATTCCAACAGAGTTAAGAAATTCTAGTGGTCTCTCTCATTCTCTAAGATACACTTAGATCACAATACCTTGAGAAGAGATCTGTAGAATATGATGAAAATTATGAGGATTTTAGGTTAAGACTGTGGGAAGCATCAGCAAAAGCAGGATAGGAACATTGAATAGTTATTAGAGGAGATGGAAAATAATGAGTAAGACAGTCAAAGTAGGGTTTAGGAAATGGGCAGTTTAGGATCCAAGGAAGAGGAGTTTCAGAAAGAAGAGAATTGTCAGTTATGTCAATGTCCCAGAGAGGTCAAGTTAAGGAAGGGAGTCTCAAAATAGATCCTGAAATTAGCTAAAAAGGTCACTTTTGACCTCAGAGAAAGCTTTTTCAATAGAAGAGCTAACAGTAATGAGGTTAACAGTAGTGAACTAAAAATTGAGGGAGAATGGGCATGATGAAACATGAGAAAAGACATTCTTTCTGGAAGTTTTAAGTATTACAAGGAACAATTGGTGTTACTGGAGTTCACAAGAGGAAAAAAGCAGGGAAACGTCATGGAGAAGCTGTGAAGAGGGGAAGGGAAATTCATGACTCATTGGGAAAAGAGCATAAATAATAGTTTAAAATTCTACCCACATATGGGTAGAATAGGAAAGAGAAAAAGGAGAAAGACACTGGAAGATCATGGTGACAGAAGCAATACAACAGGATAATTTGTTGAGTGTAGGGAGGTTGGGAGGTAGATTATTTAGAAATGTCAAGTTTGTGTGATTAGGAATACAAACAACAGTGCCACGAAAAGAAATGGGGCACTTTAAAGAAAAGTACATTTTGCAGGAGGCAAGTAGTGAGATTATATAAGATCTATTGAATATGAGGTGCAAATGGAGCCTCTTGTTGTGGAAGTGGAGATGGCAATGGGAACTTTAGACTAAGGCAGTTATTTCATACCATCCATTCATTGTATCCTAGTGCTTAATTTCCTGGAATTTGAAGCACACAATGTCTTTAATTCACATTGTTGCAACATTCTTATTGCTACTCTTTATCAACTGATATCAAAGCACCTTTTCCAATCTACATCACTAATAGCCTTTATTGATAGTCATCTAATAATTTTCTACCACACAAAAGTACATTTCTGTTGTAATATCATATGTGACAGAGCCTAGACCACAAGTACCTGATTAAACATATCCCCTGACTACAAGACCCTCACTAGCTGCTTTCACTGGTGAAATCCTACTTACCCTTTGCATTAGTTTTCTTTTGCTGCTGTAACTAATTACCACAGCTAGTGGCTTAACACAACACAACTTTATCTTATAGCTCTGGAGGTCAGAAGTCCAAAATGGTCTCACTGGGCTAAAATCAAGGTACCAGCCAATACTAGGATTGTGTTCCTTTCTGGAAGAGAGAATTTGTTTCTTTGCCATTTGCAAATTCAAGAGGGTTCCCGCATTTCTTGACTCTTGGCTTCCTTTCATGTTTAAATTCAGCAATATGAGTTTCTCATATCACATCAGTCTGATACTGACCCTTCTGCCTCCTTCCCCAACTTTTAAGGACCTTTGTGACTACATAAAACACACTCAGATAATCCAAGATAATCTCCCCATCTCAAGGTTAGCTCATTAGCAGCCTTAATTTCATCTTCAACCTTAAATCTCTTTTCCCATAATAATACATATTTCTAGGTTCCGGGAATTAGGGTGCGGGCATTTTGGGGAGATCATTATTCTTAAGGATCACATTTAGGTGTCACCCCAAGCACATGATAACTCCCCAAGATAAAGTGAATCATGTTCTTCTCAGCTTTATTATTCCACACATAATGGCTACCTCTTTTTTTTTTTTTTTTTTTTGAAACAGAGTCTCACTCTGTCACCCAGGCTGGAGTGCAGTGGCATGATCTCGGTTCACTGCAGCCTCCTCCTCCTGGGCTCAATCAATTCTCCTGCCTCAGCCTTCCAAGTAGCTGGGACTACAGGCACACACCACCATGCTGGGGTAATTTTTGCATTTTTAGTAAAGATGGGGTTTTACCATTTTGGTCAGGCTGGTCTCGAACTCCTGACCTCAGGTGATCCACCCTCCTTGGCCTCCCAAAGTGTTGGGATTACAGCCATGAGCCACTGCGCCTGGCCAATGGCTACCTCTTATTCCATCTCTTAGCAAATTGTGCTGTGATTGTTTGTGTCACCAACTGACACCTTCATTCAGGGGAGCAAGGCCTTTGTTTTTCTTATTTATCTCTGTGTCTTCATTCCTCATCTACTTGCCTGGATTTCCATCAAAGTGTGTAGAAAACAGCAAGCTCTTAATAAAAAAAACTGTTGAGTTAACTGAGTGGAGGAAACAGAATATTGGTAGGGTTCTATGAGTTGGGTAAATTGTTTGCGAAGTGGAAGTGAATTTCAGGGCCATTTGGTGATAGGATAGGAATATATGAATGGAAGTCAGATAAATCTTTATCTTTGGAGACAAGGCTGGGAAATCACACTCAATGAAATAGGCACAAGAATTTAACACCAGGCAATGACTGGAATTTGTGTAATTTTATCTCATACTGTATTGTAATTTAGGAATTGCTTATTTATGAAATTTTGCTTCATTAGGAAGAAAGCCTAAAGTGAAAGTCAGGCTGAATGTACTAACATATCACAAAGAGGTACCATAATGATATGAAGTTGGGAAACCAATAAGTACATTTAGTTTGTTTGTTTTTAAGTATAGGTAACTAACACAAACAAGTAGATAAAAGAACCATCCCTGTTTATTCATCACTCCCAAGGGATATTGGTGTTTTGATTTAGATGATAAGGATAGTTCTGTTTCCTTCATAGTCTGAGCTGTCCCTTGGGTGGAGAAGGTCAATAGGTTGGGTTGTATAAGTATGACGCATATTTCCTTCAAGCAACAATCAATTTCCTTTTTTCGATTTTGTGCTTCCTACACGCCCTCTGATAAATAGTCTGGTCTCCCGGGGGAACCACTCACCAGGAAGGGAGTGCCCTGTTCAGATCTGACCAGTCCTGTTCCCAGCCCTGGTAGTGGTTGGACCACTGAAAATTAAGAAATCTGTGTCCTAGTTAATAGCTGTCTTCATGCGTGTTATTAGAATGAATCAATTTTCCAGAGCCTACTGGGCAGTCTAAGAAATAGAATGTACCTAAAAACATATTGTCCAAGACCAGCCCCTTGCTCATAACCAGCCCAGGAGGATGTAACCCTCTATGAGTCCTGTCTGTACTCAGGTATCTGTCTGTGAGTGCTACTGTGACAGTTAATTTTTTGACTAATATAGTTATACCAGCTAGCTGATGGTGTGATTTCATGTGGCAGGCAATAGATAGCCATTGTACCTTCTTAAATCATTAGGGAAGTAAGCATGGTGAAAGTGGAGCTTCAGAGGGATTTAATCTGACCTTGCTGTGTAGAAAGGATTAAAGGGCTACAAAAGACTGGGTAGTCAGTAAGGAGACTGTGAAAATATTTCCTGAAGAAGAGGCCCTGGAAGAGAGGGATGATGTTTAGACATTATGAAGGAAGAAACTGACCACTACCATGGATGTGGGGTATGAAGAACCAGTATCAGCCTAAGATGACTCTTTGATTTTGATTGTGGACACCAGCGTGTGGCTAATATGACAGAATAATTAATCAGAAACTTAATAAAGGTTTTGGTGGCCCCTAAATTAAAGGTATAAAATAATTTCAAATATAATTGTTTTTTGAAAAAAAGAATGTCAGGTAAACTGTTTTTTCCAAAAGATTTATTAGCAACAACTCATATCAAGGATTAATATCCAAACTTTTGAACTATGATTATCAGTTTCATTTGCTAAGCTCTCATTTGCTTTTTAAAAAATTAATTCATATTAGGTGAAAAATTATTTCAGGGAGCAACTGCAAAGTTCAATATAGTCTCTGACATACAGTGCTTAGTAGGAAACATGTTACTCATATCATTTTCTACTAAGAGAATAATAATGGCATTTTAAAAAATTCAATTGCCTATTGTGAAAGGCAACACTAAATGATGGATATGTACCAAGTCTCTTTCTAAGTTATTCTCATTGTGTATAATTATGCAAGAAATCTTTTGTAAAACCATGAGGAATTCTAACCAACACCTAAGAAGCTCGTGCTGTAGATGAAATCTCATCAAGTTTTTAGAGCCCTTGATGATGCCAACCCAGGTAGCATCTTTAGGAGACTTGTATTTCATTTACAATCAAAATCACATTAAATTGTGTGTAAACACTCTGGCTGGACTCCACATCCAATATTCTTTTCGAAGTCATATGAACACAAAAGTAAAGCTAAAATAAGTAAATATAATTCATAAAGAACAAGAGCCTCATTGTCTGGCTTGGCAAATTTACCTGAAGCTGTTCTCTTTCTCTTTCACATACACACTCTTTTTTTAAAAATCCTTAATTGAAAAATTGAGCCTCCGGCAGCCAAAACATACACTGCAAAGCTAAAGACGTTTGGGCATTGGCATTTCCAAGAACCTGGCACTTGTGACTGCTGTAGCTAGTTTTCACACTGTGAGGCTGCTTTTGATTTATTGCTGTCATAAAATGAGACTAGGTGTAGTGTTATGATGATTTGCGATTTGTTCCTAACTCAAAGGGCTCTGGTGGCCTCTTAAACTTATTAGAACAACTTCTATTAGGAAAATGGAACTAATATGACAGGATTCATTCCTTCAGGTCACACAGAAATGGTGGGGGGTTTGCCTCCTACGTGTGGGGTTTGAGCAAAGGGGGAGAATAGAGAGACAGAGGGAAGCAATGGGAAGCAAGAAGAAGAACGTGGCCCCCTAGATGCCCTTACTCTAAAGCATGCATTTTAGGGTTGTTGAGGTTCAGCAGCAGGTATTTAGGCCTTTCTGTGTGCAATTAAAGATATTTCTAAAAGATCATTTAAATCCTCATTTTATTTGCTCCTCCTTATATTTTTCACTCCCCTAGGAGGGTTTCAATGGGATGAGTTTCCTGCCAACACTTGACAACAATATCCGTGCTGGGTCATGGCAGTTTGATTGGACATCAGGGAGAAAAAGGCTCAAACGGGCCACCCAAGACCTCAGCATGAGTGAGTAATTGTAAAAGGCTCCCCACCACGTGTGTTAATACTTAGAAATACAGAACTAAATGTCAACACTTTTCCTCTCCCGAGAGTGCTCACATCTGAGCATGGAGGCTGAGGGTAACACCATGCCAGCCCAGAGTTCAGAAAAGAAAGTCTATGTTATCTGTTTTAAATCACTTGTCAAAAATGAGTTTTTCTTGAGCTCTCTTCTTAGGGGAGGAAAAATATAGAAGAGCCTTTGGCATTAGCCACTTGCCTTGGCATTGAGTAGCAGCCATAAACACTGAGAATGGGCTCCCCATACCAGAATGGCTAACACATCCATCCATCATCACTCAAAAACAAAGCATTTATAGGCAGAAGATTGGGTGGGTATTATTATTCTGCTGTTTTAATCTGCAGCAAGCCTCAAGAATTCTCTAAACCTCAATTTTCTCACAGATAAAAGGCAATGTAATCTTTTGTCCATCTAACAGGTTTGCCATAAGGAACAGTGATGCTGGTCCTTGTTTGTGTGTGTGTGTGTGTGTGTCTGTGTGTGTCTGTGTGTGTCTGTGTGTGTGTGTGTTTTCGTGGTGGAGAGGAACTTCTGCAGTGTCAAAGTGGCATGGCTGTAGCAAAGTTGGAAAAGAATCCTGTACCCACTGAAGAGCTAAATCAATACCATTCGTAAAATCTAGCCACTGCTAGAATCTTAACTATCACTGGAGAGACAAAAGAATTAAGTCCCTTGGCAACATGGCGAACAAGAAATTGCTTAGGGTCTTACACAACACAGCTTCTGCAAAAGAGAAGTTAAATTGTGGGAAACAGAGATATGCCATGTTTCTACTTTAATTCCCAAAGTTTTTCCACCAGTTAGTGTGCCAAAAGAAAGGATAGCACTGTTGGCAAACCCTAATGATAATCTTAGCTTGTCTGACCTCTGTCTGTGCAGCTTGGTGGTGATTCTGCATGACAGGCTGTGCAAAGCTCTCTGGCAAGGTTTGGTCAATTTTGATCAACCCCCCCCCCCAACACCCCCAGAAATAAATTGTCTTACCTCAATTTGGTTTAATGGAAATAGCTCTTTATCAGGCACCAGAATAACCCAGTTCTAGTCTAGCCATTAACTCTTAGCAAATCATTTACCCTCTTAGCCTTAGTTTTCTAGTCTGTAAGGTGTGTGTGTTTGTGTGTCTGTGTGTGTGTGTGTTGGGGATGAGGTGATAGGTGAGTGGGTAAACTAAGTGTTTAGGTTCCTTCTCAACTCAGACATTTCTGATGATGATGTCCTAATGCAGGGATGGTATAACAAAATAGATACAACATGCATAGTCTGGCAGATGAGGAATATTTTAAATAGCTACCAATCATTTAGCATTTTGTATGTGCAATAAACTTTTCTTAGTAATTTGGATGCATTATCTCATTTCCTCTTCTCAACAACCTTAAGAAATAGGTGGTATCACTACACATGCTTTACAGATGAGGAAACTGAGGTATAGAGAAAGATTGATTTTTCCAAATAACGTATCTAGGAAGTAGGAGATGCAACATTTCAGCCTAGGTCCTTTGGCTCCAGCGTTCATGTGCTTAAGCTCCAAACTATAGTGGCTTTCTGCAACATATTTGTAAAAGAATTCTAAATCATCAATGGAAATAATTTCATGATTGATGTTTGCCTAAGTCTTGGAAGTGTGGTGTGCTGAGTGTCCACCCATGCTGAGTGTCCGCTGATCCTGGGGATAGTATTAATTCTCCAGCAGCATTCCTGAATTATCGAACCCAGAGGGATATTTACATTTTTGGTTACAATGGCTGGGTACCTTCACTTAGGCCTCCTACAAGGCTAGGACAGACTGGGGGCAAATGCAGCCATGCTTCTCATTGAAAAGACTATGGCATGTAGCATTAGCCTCTCCTCATCTGAGATCAAGAACTTCAACATCTATTCTTCCACCGTTCACCTCCTTGCTTGCTATCTCCAGAATTTCATAAGTCTTTGGAGAGTAATGCAAAGTAATTCTTTTGCAGAAAAATAATGGCATCTTTTGCTTTAATGCAAGCAAACAGTAGGATTAAGACTAGATATTCTAAATGGTAGGAAGGAATTTGCAGTTGTAGAATTGTCTTCTCAGCAGTACAGCTTTGGCCCCTTGCATTTCCACATAACGTAGATTTACATATAGAGAAATAATATATATCTTGTCAATTCCCAGATGGTTTGTATATTTTCTTGGCTGGGTAGAAGGATACACTATGATGCCCAGAAATAAAATAGAATTCAAATCATGGTAGAGATTTAGCCTAAGTTTAGTATTCGATCAGTTGTCATTTTAAGGCACGTGTAAATAAATGAGGATAAAATAAGTATATTTTAAACACATGACTTATAAACAAGCACAATTATTAACTAGCAAGAGCTAAGATTGTATTAGGTATATAAAAGGTCAGTTTTCTCAGGAACTATCTTTAAGGCATAAAAAAGGACTAGTATAAACTAAATATGGCCTAACTTTAATGTGATGAACATCTATCTAGGTCATCAATTTGTTTCTCTCTCTTTTTTTTTTTTGTTTCCTAAAGTACCTGGTTCAGATCTCTTGTAACACTAACTATATTGTGCTGTTTATGTACATGTCTCTCCAATTAGATCCAATTTCTCAAAAGCAGAGGCTGTCTCTAATTATTGATATCCCCAGGGTCCAGCACAATGCCTAGCACGTTGTCAACAATTACTGAAAAAATGCTTAGGAACAAACTACACTCAAACCAGCATCATACGAAATGTATCACTGATACTCCAGAGCGTCACTCTGTGGTTGGCTATGGGTCGGCAGATCTAGGCTGAGCTCAGCGGGGAGGCTCTCCTTCAAGTGTTGGATCTAGTTATCTTGGCTCTTTGCTGTAGGCTGAGCCATGTTTGTTCCTGGGACCCAGGCTGAAGGTGCAGCAGCTGATTAGAAGAAAAAATTCCCATAGCGAAGGCAACAGCGCAAAAGGCCAAGCCCAATCACACACACACGTCAAACATTTGCTTATGTCATGCTCACTAGTATTTTATTGGTGAAAGGAAGTCACATGATCAAGCTCGATATTAATAAGATAGGGAAATACACTCCATGCTTAGTGGAAGAAACTGCAAAGCCACATGGCAAAAAGTGTGAATATAGAGTAGAGTAAAAAGATGGAAATAGTATTGCAGCCTACCACAATAAGTACTCAAAAAGGCTTATAGAATTAGTGAGTTCATATTTCTACCCTGTCTATTCATACCTTATTTGAGTTTCTAACTAATGACTACATCAAATGCTGTGGGGTTTTTTGCTCAGAATATTATTAGTGGTTGGTACGTATTAAATAATTTGAAGTCTAGAAATTATCCCCATAGAATCTGCATCAGAAGGATTTACTAAGGTGAGGTTGGAAGTTCTGCAAATATCCTTTCTGGCAGTGTGTAGCATTTCTTTTCATGATCCAGACCTGAGCCAAGAAGGAAAAAAAAAAGAATAAAAAATGGAAAAGATTTATAGAAGTATCCACTAGGATTTGAGCTCATAAACATGTGGAGTCTGTTGTTTTCAGTTCTTTTATTTAAGGGCAATGGTTTGAACCAGTGGGTGTAACTCACCTATTTCCATCCTAGGCATACCTAATAGATTTTTCTTTTCAGGACAGTGAACATGATATGCAAAGCTAGAACTCTAAAGGCAAAGGCCTTCCAGGAAGTTGCTGCCCTGTGGGACCTTAGCCTTCTTTCCAGAACCACTGAATGATTTCTGCCATGTTTCTATGAAGCTGACACACCTGTTTTGAATAACAATTTGCCGGTGCCTCTGGATTTCCAGGTGGTGATTTTTATTGCTTTCCAAAGCATGAAATTTGAACTTGAGTTTTCCCTGATGTCAGATTAGCAAAAGCACCTTAACAGTGAGCTTTTTAAATAAAGCAGCTATTTCTGGTGGTTACCTCATATTTTAAGAGCCCATTAGAACTATATAGAGAGTTTTCTAAAAAGCAAGGAGAAGAGTGTTAGGCATTTAAAGTTTCAACTGGTCATCTCTCTATTAAAATATTAGGTGTAGACTGGCTTACATACATTTTATGTTACAAACCATACATCTGATGATAGAGTAATAAGCCTCATAGGCTGGAGATTGAGTTTTTCTTGTCTACTTTTCAAAGAAACTCTGTATCTTTTATGTTGGAGGAGGGGTAGGGAGCAAAACAATTCTAGATGGCCCGGGTACCCTGCTGGTTGCTACAGTGTGAGGTCATTTTGCACTATAAGTCACAGAGCACAACATGATCCTTATAAACTCATAACCTGTTTTAGTGAACACCGGTAATTACAAACGAAACACCACACAGACTGAGATTTTTACGTGGTACCCTATTTTACCAAAGATGAAATGTAAAGCAAAGAAAACTGTGCAACTTGCCATGCAAATTGGTTGCCTGGGGTATAATTATCTGATTAGTCCTTGCAAACCCTTGCTTGTATGTGCAAATTTGATTTAGAGGCCTCTCATAAGATGATAGCTAACTGCTTTGTGTAAACACTGTCTTTACCATGCAGAGCCTACCGCTGAGACCATTTTGCAGGTCTAGTTATGGTTGTTCTATGTATGAAGCAATGGAGCTTGTGGGAATAGCAATGCAGCTATAAGCACACAAATAACTTTTATTGCCAACTACTAGGCTAGAAAAGTATGCATATGATCCATTATTATAGTTCTAACCTGTCACAAAACCTTTCCTACAGAAAATCAAAAGCATTTCTGGCACTTCCTTAAAGCTTATCTTAAATCAGTAGATTTCTAAGATTTTATTTCTATCTCCACCAAGCAATAACACCAGCTTAAAAAATGTGTTAGTAACGTGTTGTCAATTGGATAAGAGTGTAAAACATTATGGCCAGTGAGGCCCTAGCATTTGTTGAGTTCAACCATTTTATTTTTCAGCTGTCAAAACTAAAATTCAGGGAGCCAAGGGCCTGTGCAGGGAACAGAGTACCCAGACTGAATGCCAGATCAGCTGCCCCCTCTCCAATCCCCTATTCACCAATCAGGGCTGCCTCTCACAGTAAAACCACAGTGCAATTTGTATTGAATTTTATAGGTCTGCAAACTGAAACTGAGAAACATGTGACGGATGCAACTGGAAACTGGGAGCAGGAACGTGGCCTCCCCTATTCTTCACTCAAACCATTACCTTCAAAGACTTTATTTTTGTCCTTTCCTTAAGCATTCAAAAAATAAAGAAAAAAAGAACACAACGTATATATGAACATCTTTGCTGCACTCTAAAACTGTACTATCTATGCAACAGCCACCAGCCACCTGTGGCTATTTGGATTCAAATAAAATACAATTTTAAAAGTTGTTTTAAAACATCTTTCAGTTTCTAAATCCAGCTAGCCACATTTCGTATACCCAATAGCCACATGTGGCTAATGGTGACTGTATTGGCAGCACAGGAAATGGAACGTTTCTATCACCACTGAAGGTTCCGTTAGACGGTGCTGCTCTACCATCAGAAAATGAAATTTTGTGCTTTCTATTCTCTTAGACTGTTGTTGGGAACATTTTTTCACAGTTACTGGTGGTCTCAAAAATCTGTCCCTGAGAAAGTCCTGGTTTGTGTAACTGTGTCACAATTGTAACACCATTTTCGTGTGACACGTATTCACATGTGCAGTAGTTTGGCGTTTCAGGCTTTTCATGTTCATATCAATACTTTTCTCTTATCAAAACAAACAAACACATTTCCATTGTGTCCAATTTCTAATGGGAATTTAGGTCCTATACTTTGTTGGAAACATAACTTCAGGCTACTGAACGAAAAAAATTCATCACTTTCATTTTTCTTTTCTGCCAAAAAAATAATCAATATATTTAAATATGAGGCATTTAATCAGTTGTTAATTTGAGTTTAATGTTTGTATCAAGGGTAAGATCATCAGAAACTAAATGTTTATGTCAACTGGTGAAATAAATGATATGAAACCATAAGGACCAGTGAGATCATGTTGTCCTTAATATTGTATATTGTATGTATCAGAGATCACTGGATGGGTTTTATATTGACCCTTCTAGGTACACAAGTGGTTAAAAGTATTTGTGCTTCTGGAACTACTTATTTGTGCTTCTAGAACTGCCTGGTTGTTGCAAAGATTTACTCCATCTGACAACCTGAAATGTGTTTGATCTGTCAAGTTTTAGAAGAGAAAATAATTCCCTTGTGCTATGATCTACTAGAGTAAAAGTCTTTGTAAGGTAAGGAAAATTAAAACAGTGACAAAAATAACATGAGAACTGCCAGGACTCTGGAGCATAAGAAAAACATAAAAATAATTAAATATAGTTATTTGGTGGAGGAAATGATGAAAAATTTCCCACTTGAAGGCAGTATGCATAGTGATTAAAAGGACAGGTTCCAAAGTCTATCCTACTTACTGCCTAGATTCCAAAAGTCTGTTCTACCATTTTCTAACTGTGTGACTTTGAGGAATTTGATTAACCTCCCTGAGGCAACTCTAGAAGAGCCCTTCTAAGAAAGATGCTGATGCAAATGGGCCATTTTTGTGAAATAATCCTGTTATGGGTCAAATTGTGTCCCTCCCCAAATTCATGTGTTAAGGCCCTAAATTACAATGGGACTGTATTTAGAGACAGGGCCTTTAGAGAGGTAACAAAAGTTAAACGAGGACATAAAAGTGGGGCCCTAATCAAATAAGACGGTTATCCTTCTAAGAAGAGAAAGAGGCCGGTGTGGTGGCTCACGCATGTAATCCCAGCATTTTCAAAGGCTGAGGCGGGTGGATCACAAGGTCAGGAGTTCGAGACCAGCCTGACCAACATGGTGAAACCTCATCTCTACTAAAGATACAAAAAATAGCCGAGAGTGGTGGCATATGCCTGTAGTCTCAGCTACTTGGGAGGCTGAGGCACGAGGATTCCTTAAACCCGGGAGGAGGCGGTTGCAGTGAGCCAAGATAGCGTCACTGCACTCCACCCTACCCTGGGAGATAGACCAAGACTCTGTCTCAAAAAAAAAAAAAAAAAAGAGAGAGAGAGAGATAGAAGAGAAAGAGACACTAGAGAGCTATCTTTCTCTCTCTCTGCTCATCACAGACAAAAGAACTTGTGAAGATACAGGAGGAAGGCAGCTGCTTGCAAGCTGGGAAGAGAGGCCTTAACTGACACCTACAACCCTGATGGCATTTTGATCTTGGACTTCTAGCCTCCAGAACTGTGAGAGAATAAATTTTTTGTTGTTTAAGCAGCCCTGCCAGTGGTACATTAGTTTCCCCTTATCTGTGGTTTTGCTTTCCATGGTTTCAGGTCCCCATAGTCAACTGTGAAAATATTAAATGGAAAATTCCAGAAATAAATAACTCATAAATTTTAAGTTGTACACTATAGTATCCTGATGAAATCTCTTGCTGTCCCACTTAGTGCCCTGGGAGAGTCAAGCAGCCTTTTGTTGACCATATCCACACTTCATATGCCACATGCCCATGAGTCATCAGCATCATCTGCTCCTGACATCCAACCATCAACACTGTCCTGGCTCAATGAGTCAGGATCACCCTCAGCAGATGACGCTCCTTCTGACATAATGTCTGAAGGTCAATAGTAGCCCTAAACTATGCCACAATACCAGGTCATTCACCTCTCTTCATCTCATCACATAGGCACTTTATAATCTCACATTATCACAAGAAGGGTGAATACAGTACAATAAGATAAGTTGAGAGAGAGAGAAAGAGTGAGAGAGACCATATTCACTCACGTAACATTTACTTCGGTATATTGCAATAATTGGTCTATTTTATTATTATTGTTAATCTTTTACTGTGCATAATTTATAAATTAAACCTTACTATACGTATGTATGTATAAGAAAAAACATAATATATGTTAAGTTTAGTACTATCTGAGGTTTTGGGCATCCACTGGGGGTCTTGGAATGTATTCCCCTCAGATAAGGGGATGACTGTACCACAGTTTGTTTATTCATTCATCTATTGAAGGACATTCTGGTTGCTTTTAAGTTCTGGTCATTATGAGTGAAGCTGCTTTAAACACTCGTGTACAGATTTTGCGTGAAACTGTCGCATTTTCGGTACATTTGTGCTTTGGATCATCCTTCTGCCAGAAATGACTTTCCCTCTGTTATCCACTTGCTAAATCTATTTTCATAAATTGAATTCAATTTACTGTATTTTGTTGTGGTGGTCTGAGCAGACTAATACACATCACCAATCCAGTTTTCCACTGATGCAAGCCTCCTCGTGTTTCTGATCCCTGGTTTTCAACGCGTGCTTTATTTTCCTTTTTCTCTGTAGTCCATCCATCCAGTTTACCATCTACAAAGCAGCTTCTCCTTCTTGTGGGTCTGGATCATGTGCTACATGTACAGTGCAGAGCTGCCCTACCAAATTTGAGACATCCAGTATTGTTTTCCTGCACAGTAACTGTTTGTCCTCGGGAAGCAGCTGATTCTTTAAGATTTGTGTCTGATAGGATATCTTGAATAAATAGCTTTAGAAACTGTACTTGTTTCCTACATCTCAGACACCTCCAACCCCGTGCCTTCAAGCACTGCTGCAGGGTAGTTCTGAGACAGCAGGGATTAGCCTCTATAACCTATCTTTCCCTCTTTCATCCAAGACCCCGAGGACTAGCAGGAACTTCCCCTAATTAACACATATTCCCTTTGCCTGGTCCAAACAGGGGTACACTAAATGTTAAGTGAGACAAAGATGCTCAAAATGCAGAAGTCAGATTATTCCTTGAAGAGCTATTTGTGTGCTGGCCATTCTGGGAGTGGAAGTCATTTAAGACTCGATCTTTTCAATGAGTAACTTAAAATTTATTCTGGGAAGTATACAATTGAAAAGCATGCCGCAATAGTAAATATAAATTTCTGGATTCCATCGCTATTCACAGGTCAGATTCCAAAAACTGGCCTTGATGAAATTTCCACCAGCTTGCTAGGAAGGACAATACCCACCCAACTGCACTTAAACTTCTCTACATGTTTATGGTTATGGGAGAATCACGTCCAGCCCAGGAGAAGGTCTGGTTCCCAGGAGATAAGCTGAGTTTATAATTTTAAGGAAGGGAGTGAATGTAGCTTGTCTTCCTGGCACCAGAGAGATGAAGGGCAAGGAACAAAGATATTCTCTTATTAATGTCAGCAGGGCTATACAAATCACCAGGGGCAAATGCTCTTAAACTGATGATGTCAGTTGTCATTTATTAACGTTTTCATTCATGAAAATTTATAATGTATTAAAATAAATGGCTTTTCTTTGTTGGTAATTTGTGGATGGCCAGTATAGTTACGTCCTTTGGGGGAGAAGGTCACTGAATTTGTTTCAAATTTCTGACTCCTGAGACTGATTTCCAGGAACTGATTCTACTGGTTGGGTGAGGTGGCTCAGCAGCTACTCGAGGTGACTAAAATAGAAGGGACTCCTGATGTAAAGAGACAGCCTTGGAGGTACAGACAGAAGATGTGAAAGGAAGAGATACCGTGCATAGCAGGAGTTAGGCAAAGCTTATCCATGATCTGGGCCCTGGCAGATAGCGTTGTGCTTGATAAGTAAAGAGAATGTCACAAAAAATCAAGAGAAAATAGGAGAAAACTGATTGAAGAAGTACATGTTGCATAAAACCCCACATTACAAGGTCTAGGTTTTCCTATTATCTCACCATAGCCAACTTTCTTATCAAGTTCGCATGTCCTGTTCCGTTCCAGACTCAGCCTGGGAACTCTCCTTTCCGCTCCTTCCCTCACCCCCTCCCTTCCACAGGAGGCGTCTTGGTCACACAGGAAGAATGGGAGAGAGGTGAGGGGAAAGAATGATGTCACCCTATGTGTGAAAATTTGCATGATTGCTGTAGTATTTTCTGGACTGTAATTTCCACAGCAATTTCCTTAATGGCAGAATAGAGTGGATCAATACCAGTCTCGCGTATGGGCTGTTCTTGGGTTAGATGGCCATAGTAGGTTCAATCAGCTGGGACTGAGCAGTTGATATTGAATAAGACCAGAATTAGTGAAAAGAGTAAAACACTGTCTTTTTGTGCAAAATTTAATGGAGTGCCAAAAAATCAGTAATCAAGATAATATTTAATACAATAGTTAAAATGCAAAATTAGTGAAAAAGAAGTCCTTGAGGAAGAAATAGTAAAATTTTACATAGAGACAGGATGGCACTGTTTGTGTGTTTTACGACCCTGTGTTTTTTGCACAATGGGGGTTTATGAACCATGTGTTTTGCACATGGTTGCTGGACCCTGTGGCTTTTGCCTCCCTCACCAGGTCCTCATGGGGTAGGTTTATGAGGTTTGACAATGAGGTGTGAACAGATTATGCAATGCAGAGCCCTACATGTAGTCACTTTTTTTAGTTGTAGAACTTTAATTATCTTTTCCTGCTTGGTTCAAAACATGGAAGGGTGTTCTGATAAGTATATACATAAGAGCACACACCTTTCCTTTTGCCTCAAGCTTCGATCTGGCTCAGGGTGGCACTGATACTGAGCAATCCATTCACCTGTTAAAGAGGGGAGTAAGGAAACTTTCTGCAGAAGGGGCGAAATGTGAGACAGGTTGTGGCAGGCATCTCCAGTACATTCCTCATATATTTAAAAGCAAGGGATATCCAAGAGGATAACATGACAGTGGCAGAGGTAGTCCTGGGATTCAGATGCTGAATTGAAGGTGAAATTTGGAGTAACAGAATGAGGGCCCCATGGTATGCCCACCCCACTACACTTAAAAAATTCCTCTTCTGGGCCAGGCGCAGTGGCTCATGCCTGGAATCCCATCACCTTGGGAGGCCGAGGCGGGTGAATCACGAGGTCATGAGTTCGAGACCAGCCTTGGCCAACATGGTGAAACCCCTAAACATGGTGAAACTCTACTAAAAATGCAAAAAGTTAGCTGGGTGTAGTGGCGGCCGCCTGTAATCTCAGCTACTTGGGAGGCTGAGGCAGGAGAATTGCTTGAACCCAGGAAGCTGGGATTGCAGTGAGCCGAGATCTCACCACTGCACTCCAGCCCAGGCAACAGAGTGAGACTTCGTTTAAAAAAAAAATTCCTCTTCTATTTTTCTTCTCTTGCTAAGATAGTAAAGGAGTAGATTGTGTTTCTTTTGTTGAGGATGTTACAAGACTAAAGGAGATTGTGAGTTGACACTAGGAAGTAGAAAAACATCAAGAAATTTTAGAGAGAGCAAATGAATAATGGGGGAAAAGCCTGAAGAGGGAATTAGGACCAGACCGAACAATTTCAAATGCTGGTGAAAAGAGTCTGAATTTTAACTGTAACTTAGGACTTCTGATCTAACAGAGACACCTGGATGGTCAGTCCACTGTAGCAGAAAGATCACAGGATTTGGAATCTGATACCAGATTTGAATATAAGAACTAAAAACAAAATCCTAAGCACACCCCCAGCAGCTGACTGAAGAGACCCCTCTTGGCCAAGGGGACCCCAGAGAATCCTTAAAAACTGAGTTCCAGCCCGTGACAGGACGGGAGGTTGGACACGCCTCATTATATCCCCTCCTTTTGTAGTTCAGACAAAACTGACCAGCATTAAAGTTAAAATAGAGATTATAAGACTGACAGAATGGACTCTTTGTGACAATAAAATACCAAATTATAAACAGGACCTAAGGCCACACCAGGCCTTAAGCTGAGCTACGCATCCCTCCACGTAAAGAATAAACTATGTTCTAACTACCACAAGGTTTTTCTTTTTCTTTAGCACCTAAGCAAGCATTGACCTCAAGAAAAGCAGTATTAAAATAAGTGCAGCTCATCCACTGCTGGCTGCTGACTCACTGACTCCCCTGTTCCACAAGCCATTACTGCAGCTTTGATTGGACAAGAAACTAATTTCAATAACCTTGTCCAGATAAGAAGACCCCTAACCTTAGATGGGTTCTGGCTGGTTTACAGAGGCTGCGTACTTGAATGCCTTTGTGTCCTTGCCTCACCTTTTGACATATAGGGCCTAATTGTAATGCATTTAAATGTTAAATGTCCACCTCAAAGTGAACATGGGATGCATGTAATATGTGTGCTTGTTCAGTACACATGTCTCGGGTACTGAACCCTTCATGAATATTCATAGCTCTTCTTATAAACTTGGAATATGTATACTTAGCCAACCCCTTCACCATAAATTTCTGTCTCACCTTTCCTCCTTCAAAGTGTCTGCCAATGGTCTCTGCCAGAGGCTACACTTCCCAGCCTGTCAGCGTGGCCTCCCTGCAGGCTGTAATCCTCTATAAGGAATAAAGTCTCCTTTCTAAATTTAAAAATTTGTGATTTTTTTCAGTTGAAAAATATGGCAAAATATGTTTTTCCACATTTCAATTTTATCATCTATAAAGGGAATAAGTCACTGATTATTATATAAAGTAAGTTCAATGCATGGCTTATAAACTTACTCAATAATTATAAGCTATTCTTATTAATAAGCTCAATTACTTCAGATTTAGTGATTGAATGTAAGTGACAAGAAGTAGCTAGGAATCAAAGATTACATTGGTGTCTAATCTCAGTAAGATGTAGACAATAGTGTTTTCATGGATATCAACTCATACCAAGTTATTAGTTTTCTCTTCTACATAACAAATTTAGCCACTTAAACCAATACATAAACATTTGTTATCTCATAGTTTCTATGGGCCAAGAGTTTGGGCATGGTTTAGCAAGGTCCTCTCCTGAGGGTAACACAAGGCTGTAATGAAGGTATCAATCAGGCTGTGTTTTCTCAGGAGGCTCAACAGGCTCAAAGAATCTACTATGCTCAGCCAGGCTATTGACAGAATTCATTTTCTTGAGGCTATATAACTGAGGACTCACATTTTGTTGCAGTCCTGTCTGGAGTTCTTTGCTGTGTGGGTTTCTCCAATGTAACTGCTTAATTCATCAAGCCAGCAAGGAGTCTCTCTTGCTCCAGTCTGCTAAGTTGGAGTGTTATATAACATAATGTAATCATGGGAGTAACATCCCATCACCTTTGTCACTTTGGCATTTTCTTTTTTCTTTTCTTTTCTTTCTTTCTTTCTTTCTTTCTTTCTTTCTTTCTTTCTTTCTTTCTTTCTTCCTCTTTCTTTCTTTCTCTTTCTTTCTTTCCTCCTCTCTTTCTTTCTGTCTTTCTTTCTTCCTCTTTCTTTCTTTCTCCTTCTTTCTTTCCTTCTCTCTTTCTTTCTTTTTCTTTCTTTTTCTTCTTTCTTTGCTTCTCCCTCCCTTCCTTCCTTTCTTTCTTTCTTTCTTTCTTTCTCTCTCTCTTTCTTTCTCTTTCTTTCTTTCCTTCTTCTTTCTTTCTTTCCTTCTTCTTTCTTTCTTTCTTTGCTTCTCCCTTCCTTCCTTCCTTCCTTTCTTTCTTTCTTTCTTTCTTTCTTTCTTTCTTTCTTTCTCTCTTTCTCTCTTTCTCTTTTCTTTCTTTTTTTTTTGAGCATTGACATGACACTCCAAGGAAATGTTTATTGGAGGATTTTAGATTTCAGATCTTTGGATAAGGAATGCTGAATCAGTAAGTATAATGCAAATATCCCAAAATCCAAAATTATTTGAAATCTGAAACACTTCTGGTCTCATGAATTTTAAATAAGGGATACTGAACCCATGTAAACAATCACTGAAACTTCAGGGGCAGATACGATTTCTGGGGAAGAGAGGACACAGGAAGAAAGATACAAGAATAATGGTTGAACCTCAGCCAAGATCTCTGAAATGTGGGAAGAAGAGATGTGAGGCAAACTGCAGAGTGAAACATCACTTAGAAAATCATCATAAAAAAATTAATAAAGAGTGGCATTTAATGAGCCATGTGCATTTAATGAGCTACTCTTTATTAAATATTTTATTAATGTTAAAAAAAAAAGCCTTCGTTGGAGACCCCAGCTTGCTTCTCAACCTCATGTGCCAGGATTATTTAAAGCACTTTACAGGTATTGGCTCACCTCATCCTCACAAAACCCTGTTAAGTAGGTACTAATATTATTTCCATTTTATAGAAGTAGAAGCTGAGGCAGAAGGTTTTTAAGTAGTTTATGCAAGGTTATGCAGCCAGGCTGATGATAGAATATGGCATTTGGCTGCTAGAGAAGACAGCTGGTAGAAGCAACTTCAGAAAGCCTGGACCTCATCCATGGTAATGACTGGCCTTGTCAGGATGGAAAAGTCACTGGATCCATTGATTAAGCGAGCACCTTTAAGAGCTGTGTCAACACAGTGATGGGTGTAGCATCCAAAGGCAGGACAAGAGAGTAGAGATTTCAACTTCTGTGGCTTAACAACTACACTCAGAAAAAGGGAAACAAAGATAAGCCTTCCTTGGAGATCCCAGCTTACTTTTCAACCTCATTTTATTCGTGATGCTTATATGATGTTTTAGTCCTTTTGTGTTGCCATAAAGGAATACATGAGGCTGGACAATTTATAAAGAAAAAAGGTTTATCTGGCTGAAGATTCCACAGGCTGTACAAGAAGCATGATGTCAGTATCTGCTTCTGGTGAGGGCCTCAGGCATCTCCCACTCATGGTAGAAAGCAGGGAAGAGCAGCTTCACATGGCGAGAGAGGAAAAGAGAGGGGGAGGGGGTGCTAGGCTCTTTAACAATCAATCATTGTGGAAGCTAATAGAGCAAGAACTCATTCATACTGTGAGGATGGCAACAAGCCATTCATGAGAGATCTGCCCCCATGACTCAGATACCTCCCACTAGGCCCCACTTCCAACATCGAGGATCAAATATCAACATGAGATTTGTAGAGGACAAATATACAAACTATATTATACTACATAATTAATGGTGATGATTTCCTTATTTCCATGCCTGTATTGATTATAATATTTAATATTTTATTACATATTATGATATATCTCCAATTATTTTGTTATTTATACATTAGACAGAGTAACTGTGTAACAAACTGGTTAAGAAGTTAGACTGACATTTCAAATTGTGGCTTTGAGCTTCGCTGTTTAGCTGCATGTTGATTAGCTAATTAAGCATTTTGCTGTTGTTCAGTTTCCTCATCTAACTGTGTAGATATAATATTTAAACACATGGTGTAGTTGTGAACATTAATTTAGTTAGTATATTTAAAATGCTTTAGAGAGACCCATAAATGCTAGCTTAGTGTCACCACTTCTTCCTAATTCCCTTATGAGCAACCCATGAAAAGAACCCACGTCTTCTATTATTTGGTAATAGTCTCTCTACTTTGATTAACTAGCACAATGGAAGGCATATGGTAGCTGCTGGAAAAGTGGATAAAGAAAAAGTCATATTGCCAGGAGGAATGTATGAGAATCACAGGTGATGTTAGAAGTGAAAAATCGAAATGAAAAGTTAAAAGAAAAAATAAGATTTGTTTTCAGAGTGAAAACAAAGATTAGATATGAAAACATCCTATAAATGTGCATTTGAATAAGACTGAGAAACTGGAGGATGTGAAGAAAAGGGAACCCTCGTACACTGTTGGTGGGAATGCAAATTAGTACAACCACTATAGAGAACTGTTTGGAGTTTCCTCAAAAAAACTGAAGATAGAGCTACCATACAATCCAGCAATCCCATTACTGGGTATATGCCAAAAAGAAAGGAAATCAGTGTACTGAAGAGATATCTGCACTCCCATGTTTATTGCAGCACTATTCATAATAGCCAAGATTTGGAAGCAACCTAAGTGTCCATCAACAGATGAATGGATAAAGAAATTGCAGTACATAGACACAATGGATTACTATTCAGCCATAAAAAAAGAAAAAAGAATGAAGGACATTATATTGAGTGAAATAAGCCTCACATGGAAAGACAAACATCACTTGTTCTCACTTATTTATGGGATCTAAAAATTAAAACAATTGAATTCATGGACATAGAGAGTAGAAGGGTAGTTATCAGTGGCTGGGAAGAGTAGTAGTGTGGTTGGGTGGGAAATGGGGATGGTTAATGGGTGCAAAAGTATAGTTAGAATAGATAAAATCTAATAATTGATAGCACAACAGGGTGACTACAGTCAACAATAATTCATTGTACATTTTGGAATAACTAAAAGAGCATAATTGGATTGTTTGTAACATAAGAAAAGCATAAATGCTTGAGATGATGGATACTCCATTTACCCTGATGTGTTTATTTCACATTGCATGCCTGTATCAAAACATCTCACGTGCCCCATAAATATATACTCCTACTATGTGGCCACAGAAATTAAAAATTTTACATTAAAAAAAAAAGACTGAAAAACTGGGACATATGAGCACAAAGCAGCATTTCCAGCTCTGACCTGACATTGTTTGTACAAAGCCATCCCAAGGGCATCAATAGGATGAATGTATGAAAAAGCTTTTTGTAAATTTCAAAGCCAGAAACACACATAATACAAGTACGGATTGAACATTCCTAATCCAAAACTCTGAAATCTGAAATGCTCCAGAATTAGAAACTTTTTGAGTGCTGAGATGAAGCTGAAAAGAAATGCTCATTGGAGCATTTCAGGTTTTGGAGTTTCAGATTAGTAATGATCAAATGGGAAGTATAGTGTAAATACTCCACCATTTGAAAAACAAACCTGAAATCCAAAACAATTCTGGTCCCAAGAATTTTGGATAAGGGACACTCAACTGTATTGGATTAATGAGATGACCTGTGAGTCTGAAAGTGAGTTACAATCAAGGCTTAGTTACTTTCCTAACTAAGTATCTGGATTATCTAAGCCTAGATCAGAAGATTTTCACCCACAAACCTGCTTGAGGGTTCCTTGTCTTGTGTTCTGGAGTGGCTACACAGGTAGGACCTCCCTTCTATTTTCTAGCTCCTGGCTTGTGCTTGGTGGAAGTAAACAAAACCATTTCAAGACAACATATTATGGTAGAACCCGGTCTGAGGAACTCTAGCTGGGATGGGTGGGTATCCTAGCACTACCTGGCCAGCTCAGGAGTCAGGTCTGGCTTGGGATGAGCCTTCTAAAGCCTGAGTTTAGAGTAGGTTCTTAGTTCAGAGTCACTGAACTAAGATGGAACTGGGGTCTTAAAATGCAAGCGCATCTCCAACTCCTTCACAGGATTAGGACTGGACCAGGAATTTATTCTTAAGTATTAGAGAGTCGGTTTCCTCTTCTCTAAATTTCATAGCTCCTGTTTGGAAACTGCTCAACTCCTGCTCTAATGAGAAAGTTTCCCCCTCCCCACCCAGCCTTTTATTATATTTAATTGCATAATTACATAATTACACAGGAATAGATTATGGTTGGGACTGTTAAAGGATGCTTGAGGCAGATGTCCCAAGGAACAGATCTTGTCCTGCTGTGGGTAGTATCCTGGCTGAATGGTCTGAGCTGAGGATTAACATGAGAAAGTCTGGAGTGCGTACTCCCTGAACTTGGGGCTAGTCACCTCCAGTAAGGGCACTGTCTCAGGTTCCCAACATTGACTATGGGGTGAATACCACTGGGAAGGAAATTTGTCTAGAAATGCCAATTGCTGCTTTTTTGTTATTCTTTTTACTTTAGTATTCTTTTTCACTGTATTTTGCTTAGCTTTTTTAAAAAGAGAAATTATTTTTATATTTAAAAATTGTTCTTTGGATAAAAGCTACTTGAGAAGGTTAATGTTTGTCTCCTTTCTCTTTCTCTACTCCTTCCTCATCGTTGTTCTGCCTTTCCTAACCACTAAATTTCCACCAACACATACCTTTATCCTCTATAAAGAGAACATTTTCAGGAAGAATATTTTCACCTCTAGAGGGATGAAAATTTTTCTGTAACTCTGAGCTGAGGCAAGTGCTAGTACATAGTATCAGGCTGTAATAGCACATAGTTCTTTGGTGAGGCATGCATATAAATTTATATTCAACATAAATATATGTAATATATTCAAATACAAGTATAATATCAGGTTATGATAGTATATATTCTTTGGGGAAGTGTGCACATAATTTTAGATGCAATAATGTATTCATTGAAATTAAAGAAAAGCTTTACAACTGAATTCTTCCATATAGATATTTTGGAATTTCAAAAAGTATATAAATCACTTGCCTATTATTTTTGCTTATGTTTGCAGGCACACTGAATGGCCAGTGAGATTTTACTAATTAAGCTGCTCCTCACAGGCTTATAGAAGTAACCAAATTTCAATTGAAGCATGCCACTTCTTGGGTTAATACATCAACAAGGATATTATTTCATTTTCTTGAATACTGAGAGTGAATTCTGCTTGGCTAAGAAGTCATAAATCAATAACAGTATAATCCATGCTAAAATATATGGTCCCTGCTATCACTAATTTACAGACTAAGTGATAACACATGTTGTGGTTCATTTTATGTGTCAACTTGACTGGGCCACAGATTACCCAGATATTTGATCAAATATCATTCTGGGTGTTTCTGTGTGGGTGTTTTGGATGAGATTAACATTTAAATCAGTTGACTGAGTAAGGTAGTAAACCATGATATGGATGGGTCTCATCCAATCAGGCCTGAATAGAACAAAAGGCACACACACACACACACACACACACACACACACACTCACACACATGCATACACACATGTAGAAGAGAATTATCCTACCTGCCAGTCTTCAGAATTGAATTGGGACATTGTCTCTTCTTGGTTCTGCGGTGGCCTACCAGTCTTTGAACTCAAACTGGAACGTGAGCTCTTAATTGGTTCTATCTATAACAGCTTCCAGCCTTCAGACTTGAACTAGGACATCAGCTCTTCAGATTTTGCACTGCCAGCCTCCATATTGTCTCATTTGCCATGAGCTGATTCCTTATAATAAATCTTTTTGTGTATATATATGTATATGCAATCTTTATCAATCTACATATATATATATATATATATATATATATATATATATATATATATATATATGTATATATATCTCCATTGGTTGGTTCTGTTTCTCTGGAGAACCCTGACTAATACAGATCACCATAGTTGACCTTTTTGCTATTTCTTGGAGTACTATGTCTAGTGTGTGTATACATGGTGGTGGTTGGGAATTTAGACAGAGCTCATATTACATATACATATTTGTCTTCCTGGGATTTTTCCTTTTTGCTTAACATTATATCATTTTTTTCTGTATCATATAGTTATTGGAAAACAATTTTGGAATTCTATATAACATTTCATAATATGGATATGCCATTTCCCTATTATTAAACTTCAGTTTATCTTACTTTTTTGCTAACACGCATAAAGTTGCAATAAACAATTTTGAATGTAAAATTTGCCTTCATTTCTGATTGTTTCCTTGTGGTAGATTCCTATAAAGGGAATTGCTAGGTCTTGTTCATGCTCTGGCCAGCAGAGCCTGAGAGTATCTTGGTCCCATGAGCTCTGGTACCTGAACAACACTTTTGATAGTGAGGATGATTAATTAAGGTACAGGGCAGTGGCTTAAACAAGTATACTTGCCTGTCCCTCACCACCATCAGAACCTCCTAGGACTGGGGCCCAAGTGGTTATATTTATAAAACTTTCAAAGGGGTTTTAATGGTCAGCCTTGCCTGAGAACTCCTTGAAAGCCTCCTACATACTTTTGACGTCTAGGCAATATGCATACTTGACTTAAACTTTTCTCCCAAGTGCAGCCAGCTAGAAAACCCATGCATTCCTCAGTGACCCAGCTCCAGAATGAGTTTTGTCTGTTTTTTTGTGCTTGCTTTTGTGTCACTCTTGAATGCCAATATGTTCATTATTCTCAACTCTCACTTTTGTATAATCATGCTGTTGGCGCTATTTTGATCCTCTTCCATCTGGCCCTATTGATATTCAATGAGAGAAAAGTGAACAACATCCAGCTATCTAGGCTCCTATGGGGTCTACCCTTCATCTCCCCTCCCTCTGCCTGCTCAGAGGTTGACTCTGTTTGCCTTGAAGAAAGGCTGAGTCAATACTCCCTTCTTTCACAACTGGTTTTCCTTTCTTCTTCTTTCCTGTGCCATAATTTTCTCTTCTATAATCATCTAACCATATAAGACTACTCCAGTTCGTCTTCTTGATCACTGTCCTACTTAAGAACCTCTGGACATTCTTTGTCACTCTTCTTAAAACCACTGATGGATAGTATCATTCTACAGTGCCTGGATGGGGATTGTGTCTTTTGTTAATTAACAATAAAGTCATTGATGATAACAATAGTTATTCTTTTCTCTCTTTTAGGGGTATTTTGTATTTCAGTGAAATATTACTGAGAGACAGATCTTAAACCTAAAGAAACAAATCTTCACAGATAGTATTTTGCAAATAATGTGGTTGTCTGGTAGGGACTTGGGGAGTTTTTTGCTAATGGTGACTCATTAAATGTCATCAAATAAATGAAAACATGTTTTGTTAACAAATGAGAGGGTCCTGAATTACAGACATGATAGTTTAAGTTTGTAACCATACTCTGGCATGTAAAATACCATGCATTCTGTGTGGAATGTAATTTAAAATTCAACCACCCATAACACCAATGCAAGAGAGTAATAATAAGGAAAACTGAGGAAGTGCATAGGAACTCTGTCTACTTTCTGCTCCATTTTTCGGTAAACCTAAAACTGTCCTAAATGTAGTCTATTAAATAGAAAAGTTCAACAACTCTATGAGGTAGGAACTTTCATAGAATTCGCCTGTAGGTGAAGAACCAGAGACTTGAGCAAAGCTGGGTGGAAATTGTTAAAGACCAAACTCATGATCATCACCGATGCTGCTTCTCTTCCTCCCTTATGGAAGCTGAATCCCAAACAGGCCTATTTATGCTTTTCCTTCACATTTATCTTCAAGGACCCTGGAAAAATTTGTCCCTGAGTTGAGAGCGGGGGAAAAATGTTCATTGAAGAGTCAGCACATGAGCCTACACAGGATTTGTGCAAATTGAGAACACCCAGATTGCCTTATGTTTATTCTTACCTCTGATAGTGAGAACACGACAATGCTGTAGTTTCTCACCACTCCAAGTTAGTTCCAAAACAACTGAAATCAAGTTACTTCACCTTTCATATGTAGAGATCTCCCTGTGCAAAGAATAAAGAAAACCATTCTTCTCAGAAGCCAAGGGTGTAATCCATGGGGATACGCCAGTATCTCTGCTGAAAGATCCACCATTCCTGTTTATGATGGCAGAGGAGGCACAGAAAGATTCTGAGAGCCTGCAATACTTTTAGCAGGCATCTGGCATTTAAGACAAGGCCATTTATCCAGAAAACTGCCTTCTCTTTCAGCTTGGTAACCATGGACACTAGCCAGAGTGATTTTGGCCCATACCCGTCCTTTCTGAATTCCTCTAAAGGGTGAGGGAAGGAAAGGAGAGATTTTTTTTTCTTTTTGGTAAATTAAATTAAAATCAGTGAAAATATCTATTTCTGTAGGTTGAAAATCCTTGGATAGTTACAAAGCTCTGATTGTATGAATAGAAAGCCAACTGTTTGATAAATGTAAAAACAAACAAAGCAACAACATACACAAAATCTTTTTTTTTTTTTTTTTTTTTTTTTTTTTTTTTTTTACTTTTTAAAATGGGCTAAGTTGAGACCTCATAGTTCTGAAGCCAGGGCACACAGATTTTAGCTTACCTTCTCTGGTCTGGCACCTTCCTTCTATTGGCAATAAGTTTGGCTTGTACAGTGAGATTCTGAAGAGAGGTCTGAGTTTGATTAACTGTGCCTTTATGAATAACATCCTCAGAGAATTCCAAGCCGTGTTTAGATTCTTGACGGCAGCCGCCATGGAGCACTGCTGTGTGGCTAAGCTGTTCCTTGCAACAGAAGATTCTGACAGATTATAACTCTCCCAACCTATAGCAATCATCACCTTTTTTGCAGGGCGATAGTCCTAAAATTTTCATTTGACTCACCCCTCGGCTGATTTGTCAGTTTACTAAGAAGTATCAAATCCATTTTAAGATGCAGTTCTCTCCCTGCTGAGAAGTGGCTTATCAGACATGGACTTGAGATATTCTCAGAGGATAAAGAGGTGGCTAATTAGAAGGTTAAGACCCATAGAAGAGAAGGGAGAAATTCCTTATGATTATTTTAAGCAGAGGCACGTCTTACTAGTTCAGTTGTGGAGCCTTCCCTCAGAGAGTTGCTGTCTGTGGACTATTCTGATCCGGAGAAATAGCCTTGCTAACACTCCTGGGGCACACCCATGGCGAATCCAGCTACTGAACGGACGGACTCTCTCAGTTGGTCTGTCTGCCAGTTGGTAGATGCAATTGAGTGGAAAATCAAATGGCAGTTCATGTTTTTTCCTTCTCAACAGAGACCACCAAAGGGGGGGAAAAGTCATAAATCTTTCCTGTGTTAATTGAGAACACTGGATGCCATTATTAAAGCATTTCCCTCAGGGTCACACTACTCATTTGAATCCCAGTCCAAGTTTGTTGAAATCATAATGGTAGTAGGCATTATTATGTCACAGGGTACCACATTACAGCATGATTGCTTTTCATTCCACATGGTTCACAAAGCAAAATAAAATTTGAATACTCAATAGTATGAGTTATAATTAGTATGTAAATCTATATTTTCATGATAAGAAAATATTCCAGTTGCAATATACTGCATTGATCATTCAATTTTCTCTTCACTGTGCTATTAAAGTTGCAAAAAATTCATACTATATTCTGATATGCTACCTCCATTCTGCAGAAGAGGCAAAAATCTCAGCACTATCATATGTCATATGTATGTGTGCCTTGGAGAATAAAAAGGCTATTTGCTGTGTTGACTTAAAAAAAATAAGCCATTTCTCTAAGAGAATAATTTCTAGATGAACAGTCATCTTTATTGTAGTGGGAAAGTCCAGAATGACTAAGCAAAATTGCCAAGTCGGTGAGTTTATTTGCACCTCCTCCTCAATCTTTTTTCTTTTTAGGAACTTCTCCCCCTCCTACCCTAGCTGCCAAAGATAATCTGCTAATGCCTGTGCCAGGACAATATCTCCAATCAGATTTTCCAGATGATACCTCCTGCTCTGGATCTTTCTTATTATCTACTCTCTTCTCACCTTCTTCACCAAACTCTATCATAGATTCCTTCAGGAACAGTGACCAAAGATAAATAAACAGAATTTCATTCAGTGCTATATGTCTCAACAGTGACAATGGAGAAAAACCTTCAGACTTCTATATGAAACTTATTTTCAACTCACAATTTTATGTTTAGCCAAACTAGCCGTCAAATGGAAGGCCATAATGACAATCTTCTTCACAAAGGCAAGGCAAAGACTCCAAAGGTTTGTCCTCCATAGACCTTTTCTTAGAAAGTTACTAAGACATGTTTTCCAATAAAACAAGGAACGAAGTCAAGAAAAGCAGGACACGGTTTTCAGGAACTACTGGATTAAAAGCAGGAAAACAGTGGCATCTTTGTCCCAAATGCATTGATTTGAAGAAACCCTAGAAAATTGACATTGGAATAGATGGAGCCCTCTAGATAAGCCTTGGAAAATTTTGAGGTTCTGTTAGAGGAAAAAGACCTACGATAAAAACAGATGGCTTTCAACTTAACTGTAGGATCATTTTTTCTTTGAGTGGCGTAGGAATTATGATATTGGATTATGATGTATATAGGACATGTAACAAAGAAATGTAAATATAACACACACTGCTCTCAGAGTTTAATAATTTGTATGTGGGCACATAGTAAAGATCGCTAATTGGTTTTTAACTTCTAGAATCAAATTATAAACCAAGCACAGAAAATGATTATAATTCTAGAATGGAATATTAGTGTTTTCATCTTAGAAGAAGGGAGGAAACGTAGACGCAAGTATTGGAGTACTAGTGTCTTCATTTTGCAAAATGGGAAGTTGAGGTACTCTTTGTGTTTGATAGGAGCGCTCTAGTATGTTGCTTTAAGTTGCAAAGTGACTAGTGGAGTATCTGAGGGCAGTAGTGTTACTAAACTAGGATTAAGTAGTACGTCAGTCAGAATTCTTAATTGTAAGCAACAGAGACCAACTCTGGCTCACTTAAGAAGAAAAAGTGAAGAACTTAGAGGACTGCAGAATCTTGGACTTTGCAGCCCAGGAGCAATTTGAATAATCACCCAGCAAAATTGGTCTAATAACGGAATTCCTCTCGTCGCGGGGTGCAAGGCAGGAGAGATTGTATTATAAACACAAGTGGCATGAAGACTGGGTGCTTCAATTAGCACTGCTGCTGCTGCTACCCAGAAACTCAATCTTACCACAAATGTGTTAATATCTGTTGATTCCAAGTCTGAGGTGGTATGTCTGATTTGTAGAGCCTAGCTCACATGCATGAACCCAGGTGCAAGGAAGCTTGAGAAAGTGAGTATCTGGTGTTTTCAGTTTCTCTAGCCAGAAGCTACCTCTACCTCTCACCTTATAAGATGGGAAAATTTCCCAAAATAGCAAAGGGTTCAAATGCTGGGTGGACAAAAAAGAAACAAAACAAAACAAAGCAAAACAAAACAAAACAAAACAAAACAGATGTTCACTGAAGGCTGGGAGGACAGAAAGTGAGAATTGGTTTAAGAGAGCTAAATTACCATCTACCATACTAGGAAATCAATTGAAAATCTCTCTAGTTGGTAAATTTTAAAAAGTGGTATCTGTATTATTTAGGTATATAGGGGTAACCCTTCAAAGAACTTAAAACAAATATTAAACATTAAAAGTGGTTATTTTAGAGGAAGTGAGACTTGTGGAAAGGTGTGGGAAATTAGGGAAAGTATTCACAAGAAATCTTTCCCTATACATGGAAATTTTGTTATCAGGTACATATATTATTTGGAAAGCAAGATGTTTTAATTCAAAAGAAAATTACAAGTCAACTGCTTCTGTGTGAAAAGAGAATGAGAAGAAAATAATTTTGGAATTAAAATATCCTCCCAAAAGTTTAATTCTATGACTATTGCTTGTTTTATCACAAGTTTTTATCCCTGAGATCCTGAATTGCAAAAGATATAACTATATAGGCATTTGTTGAGTGGATAAATGAGTGAAAGGAAATATTATTTTATGTCTAATAATAATATCAAGACTATGAAATTAATCATATATTTTGGGTCCTATTGGTGGGATTGTCTAGAAAGCTAGAGTTAAGAAATATCAAGTCATTCTCTTCTGTAACTCTTGTTCATAAAGACAAAATGCACTGCTTGTGGAATTCAAGCACTGACCAAACTTTGACCAATGTCTTCATCTGAAGAAGAAGAGTACTGAGGTTTTAATTGATAACAGAATGCAAATATCATCCAAATAAACACTTGGTAATAGTTGTTCACTGTTTACAGAGATAAAGTCAAGTTCAGTTTTTACTGCCTTAAACTATCTTAGAATGTATTTTGTCTATACTTTCCAAAAAAAATCCTGCCCATAATTTTCCCAAAAATAAATAAATGTTTTAAGGTTAAAGAATTGAAACACATGTGAGCATTTATTAAGAAATAAATAAATATTTATTGAATCAATCCAATTCATAGAAAATTAAATGAATGCAGGTATAGCATTTAAAAGGCAAGAAGTTAATGAAAAAAGAAATTAAGGGGGAGAATTAATAATGGGAAAAATATCTTGAAAATTCTAGAAGAAATTTATGTCATTCCTGCAGTGTGTAAGAAATGCTAAATCTGGTGATAGGCTAGTGAGTTAATGCCAAGTTCTGGGGTTCAAACTGGAGGGGTAGAAGGCATCCACCAGCACCCCCAAGACCCATCACCCAATCAAAGCAGATATGACTTCATCTTGAAGTCCCCTAAAACAAACAAAAAGATGCCATTGTGTTTTGAACAGATAAAAATCTGATCAAAACACACCCTAAAATTTGTGAAGAGAAGATTTGGAGAGCATGCTTTCATTAGGAAAACCAGGCCTGGGCAGGTAAATGTAGGGATGGATTAAGAGTGAGGGGGTAAGGCTGGGCATGGTGGCTCATGCCTGTTATCCCAGCATGTTTGGAGGCTGAGGCAAGAGGATTGCTTGAGCCCAGGAGTTTGATACTAGCTTGGCAACATAGCAAGACGCCCTTTTCTGCAAAAAATTAAAAAATTAGCCAGGTGTGGTGGTGTGTGCCTATAGTCCTAGCTATTTGGGAGACTGAGGTGGGAGGATCACTTGAGCTCAGGAATTGGAGGCTGCCGTGAGCTATGACTGCACCACTGCACTCAATCCTGGGTGACAGAGTGAAACCCCCCTGTCTCTAAAAATTAAAAAAAAAAAAAGACTAAGGGGTGAAGGTGTTGGAAAATTCACATGCCCCAAGGGTGACACACACAAAAAAGAAGTTTCCAGGTAGCCTAACACATCCCACTATCCATTAATTCTGCAACAATGTTGTGAAGAGGGGAGGAGGAGATAGGAGAGGTAGGTGGCATAAATGGTTAGACATATAGGAGCTTTCCTTTTTATGAGAAAAATCTACTTCTCTTTCAAACTGCATTTTCCAAGAGAGAAATACCAAAGATATTGAGAGTTTATAGAGATTAACCAGAGAAAGCAAAAGCATAAAATCTGTTGTTGTTGTTTTCTGAAAATAACAAAAGGCCTGGACTTTCAGAACACTAATGTTTTCTTTCACCATTCACAGTGGAGGGCCTTCTGGTCCAATACTGGTCCAAGCCCCTGGCTGGGATGGGTGGTGCAAGTGAAGTCATCCCTTCCTTGATTGAGTGATGTGTCTTGGGAGTGGAGCGGGCTGTCTTCTGCTTGTGCAGTTGGGACCCCAGAGCTTGGCACTGGCCTACTAGCCTATTACCAGGGAACACTTCTCTCTTCTATTACCCATGGTAGGGTGTCTGCAGCCTGGAGGGGAAAGTGCAAACTCTTTCATCAGGAACAAAATTATGTAACCTATGGCTCTTTTATCACCACAAGGGTGTGGCTCCTGAAGCTGGAAAGGAAGGCAATAAATAGCTTTCAAGTGTTTCATTTTAAGATTTCCAGTAAATACATTTGTTTTTACTTCTTTTGCTTTGAGAGGCTTTTGAACTTTATTCTTTTTTTTTTTAACTTGGGAGCATAACATTTTAACCCATCAGCATCAAGAGTCAAGACAGCATGTTATCTTGAGCAAGTCATTTAATCTCTCTGGAACTCAAGTTTTCTTTACTTGTAAAATTAACTCTCTTCTAAGGTTCTTTTCTTTAACCTTTTGTGACTTTATGATTGAATTCAGTAAGTTCATTTTGTTTCCTGTGTATTATTTGCATTTTTTTCTCTGTTTAATGAGAGACATTGTCAACCAATTTCAAGTTTTAAGCAGAGGTAAAAATTTAACTTTAAGATCTAACATTCTCCTCTGCCCCATGAAGAATCCCTTGATTATACACATGTAGGTCTGAGAGAAGGACATTTTTTTGTGTTTTTAGTGGCCTAAAAATACATCTTCACATTATTCATAATATCTGAAAGTGGAACAATCTAAATGTCCATCAACATGAATGAATAAATTAAATGTCATTTCTCTGTATATAAAATGTGATGTTATTAGGCAATTAAAAAGAAATGAAATACTGATATATGTTGCAATGAATGATTCTGCAAAACAGTGTAAATGAAAGAAGCCAGTCACAGCTGACCATATAATAATATCCAGAATAGACAAATCCACAGAGACAGAAAGTAGATTAGTGGATGCCTATAGTTACCCTAAAAATTAGGCTCACGCTTTCCCTAACTTCCCCCACCCTTTCACAAGTCTCACTTCCCCTAAAATAACCACTTAATTTTTAGTATTAGTTTTAAGTTCTTTGAATGGTTACCCCTATATGCCTAAATAATACATGTACTGCTTTTTAGAATTTACCAATTAGAGAAATTTTGCAAAGATTAGAAAAAATATAATTCTGAGAAAAAGGAATTTTTTTTTTTTTTTTTTTTTTTTTTTTTTTTTTACCCATTTTGGGTTTACTGACTAGGCCCTGCACAAAAGACAGATTAACAAGAGAAAAAAGTGCAAATCTACCTAATATGAGTTTTACATGACACAGGAGTCATCACAAGGAAATGAAAACCTAAAGAAACAGGTAAACCTGAGTGTTTTTATATTAGGTTTGGTAATGAGTGGAAAGTCATGGAAAAATGTGATGGACAAAGGGCTAAGGGGTAATAAACAGGAAACTTAGTGAGGCCTGTTTGTTCGTTTCTTCTTGGTGTCCCTCCCTCTTTGGAGATAAGGACCCTAAGGAGAAGTACATTGGGTATAGAAAGGGCACCTGTCCCCTGAGGATCCTGTGATCTGCTTCAGGGGATAGTCAGAGAGTCCTTCCTCCACTTGCCATTCCTTAAATACCTTAAGCCTAAAATATTTAAGATGCCAAGATCCATATTTTGTCATAGCCTGTCCTGAACCCCGTCCCTTAGGACTGGAGGTTTGTGAACTTTGGGGGTTGGGTCACAATAATGAGTGACTGCCAATGTAGACAGGTGGTTTTTTGGGGGTTACAAAGATGTTCTAAAATTGATTATGGTGATTATGGTTGTATAACTGTGAATATACTAAAAGCCATTGAATTGTAAAATTTAAATGGGTAAATAACAAGGTGTTTAAATTATGTCTCAATAAAGTCATCATTTAAAAAAATCTTCAGCCCCTCAATAATCAGTTGGTTGCAGAGGAAGAAAGTGTTGGTATTTGGGGGCCTCATGAGGTGAGGCCTCAGGATTAGCCTCCTGAGGTCTGTTTGCATCTCATGAAGTGGCAACAACTGTGAATTCAAGGAACTTTGAGAGCAGTAACCCTTAAGGCTCAAGTTCATCAGAGAGTGCAACTCCCTTAACTGAGAATGACACATGGGGACATCTGCTAAGAGAGGCCCAGTTCTGGCTCCACAGAAGACACAACTATGATCCATGGGTCAGTAGCTTCTGAGGCCAGCTTTAATGGCACACGCTGTGTTATGTCCTCTGCCACAGAGGCATCTCTGTCACTGCATTCCTGAGCAGTTTTGTGTACCTCAGAGACACACGACTGTATCCCCAAATCCTAAGTTCAGTGGCACTGAGTCTCCTGTTCTTGAAGAAAGCTTGCAACAAGGATGAGGTTTCCCCAACACCATAGCCTTTATCTGGCCCCCATTCCATTATCTGACATGGTTTCATGAAAGTCGATTTCTGCCGGGCAGTCAGTGGCTCTGGGAACTAGGATGGAAGCTGGAGGTCTTCCCCTCTAAACATTCACACACTATTCATAAGGTCCCTAGGAAGATAAAGAGGGAAACATGTAAGATGTTAGAATGAGCTGTGGACGTTGCTGCTATCACTGGGATGAGGAGTGTCAAGCTCTGCACTCTGGGGGCCATTTGGGGCATCCCATTTGCACTGCAAAGTAAGTAGAGGGAGTACTCGGTTACATATTCTCTCATTCAGTCATTTGTCCAGTTAACATTAGTTGAACACTTACATACTCTGTGGCATTCTAAGTAGGCCGGAAGAATAAAATGCTTCTCACATCCGTGCTGCCCTGGATTGCTGAGGGTCTGCTGGGGAAGTTAAGCATGCACAGAAAGAGTAATGATACAAGGTGGAGTTGGTGCATTTTGGTTTCAGCAATGAGATACCTACTTAGACATGGTAATCATTAAACCTATTATTTTCATGATGAAATTAATCTGCACAGAGACAGAGAGCTTTTATAAAATATCAATTACGGAATGTGAGACCAAAGACAATAGTATGTTATAGAGACTGCACAGATAAGTCTAACATGCAGCTAGAGTTGAGAACTCATTGCTGTCAACAATTTATTAAAAAGTAGAGAAATAGTATAGATAGTTGTTACATGTTTTAAAAGCAAATTTGGGCTACATAGCTTATCAGAGGATTCCTTTCTGCCTTGTGAATTAATTCATGTGGAAAAAAAGTTTTTGTCAGGCAATTGATTTAAATCAATAAGTCTCAGTTTTTTAGTCTCAGGATCCATTACATTCTAAAATATTATTAGTATCTAAAGAGCTTCTGTGTATGTGTGTATATCTGTGGCTATGTATTACATAGCTGTATTTACCATATTAGAAAAAAAGACTTTCAAATCTATTTTCTATTAGTTCATTTAAAACTCCATGTTAACACCAATTGCGTAGTTTTATGAACAATAGCTGTGTTTTCAAAAACAAAATGAGGTAGTGAGAGGAGAGGCACTCTTTCACATGTTTGCAAATCACTGTAATGTCTGGCTTAATAGGAGACAGCTGGATTCTCATGTCTGTTCTGCATTCAGCCTGTTGTGATATCTTACGTGATGTAGCCTCTGAAAAACTCCATTGCATTCTCAGGAGAGAATGAGAGTGAACAAAGCAAGTTACTTCTTGGACTACTATGAAAATAGTTTCAATGTCGGGGGCTCAACCAAAAGAATTTCACAGATCCCCACTATGGAAACCTTTACATTCATTTTCATGGCAATCCTATCTTTAAAAACAGATGAGGAAGCTGAGGGGGGCTCAGGAATGGAAGACACTCACCATGGGTCATGCCGTGGTCATGAGCAGGGCTGGGATTTGTTCTCTGCTGGCTGGTGGCCAGGTGGGAGCCAGGCCACCGCATGTCCCTTCATCAGTCCACACAGTTCTTAATAGTTGTTTTATTTCTTCACTCATGTACTGTTGATGTTGATAGGATATTGTTCCCCTTGGACTTGTTGGAAGAACTTAACCAACTCAGGAGTAGTTACTCTTAATTTTCTTCAAATGTGTCAAGGCAACTTTCTGACTAATTCTTTTGGATTAAGAAGAGGCATTTTAGAGTTTCAACAGTTATTAGATGACTTTTCTCATCTCGCAAATTGTAAATCATTGAAAGTAATCATAATACTGGCAATAAACGCTTGATTTAAAATTTTTGAGTAGTTTTGAAAACAGTTTGTTGTATTCTAACTCAATATTTGACGTAATAAATGTGATGCTTTAATTAGAAAAAGCTCATTGTTTCAATAAAGTACAAAGGGGTTAGAAGCTCAGATTCACAATAAAACTTTTTTTCATGCAAAATTTTAATAATAAAGTTTTTTAAACCACAAGCATATAGCTATAAAATTTACTGTTATGGAGCAAAATCAGGCTCTGATTATTTTCCCCCTTCTTACAAGAGCAATGTCTTTCCCTTTTAGCCACCAGCACTAATCAATGTAACATGTTCTTACCACTTTACCAGTAAAACCCCAAGTCACATGCAATGCAGCCAAATTGCATGAAGATTTTCATTATTATTTGTTGTTTGCTTTTGTTTTCAGTTTGTCTTTTTCTCTAGGTGTCAGTTGTAAGTCTCCGATTTCTATTATGTTACAGCAAATAGAATGTCCTGTGATTATAATTTGTTTTCACTCTTTATTAGGTCAAGTTATAATTACTTCTGTTGTAAGAACTCAAATTGTTGAGTTCATGAGAACTCAATCTGTTCTCATGTTCTTGTGCACACACAGAAAAACATTAAAATACATAACATTTTTGATCCATAAACACTTTCTCATTTTTAAGTAATTGTAAAGATAAAGCTATGAACACAAATTCATTTCTAAGATAAATGCAGAAAAATAATGGAAAGCTCACTTAAAAAATTGCTACTTGTTTCCCAACAGTTTTCCATTTAATCTTTCTTTATTCTCTTATGAATCCTAGAATAAGTGATAAAGACAATCAAGGTTTGTCATCTGAAGATTTAAACTGGATAAATTAGATAGTTTAAAGAGCAATAGTCTTTACACGTTATAAGAGTCAAATAGGATTTTATACATCATTAGCCATATTTATCTTTAATTCTTTTACTGTAAGTTACAGCATTTAATTTTTTTCTTTCTTATAAATTTAGAAATGAGAATTACTATTTCACACAGACTTCCTATTCTGATAGTCTGTTATATTATACTTTGAAGATAGCTCCTGGGAAGAGATTGGTAACAGTGTAGGAACTGATAGGGAAATTCTGACATAGTATTTTCCAAAACTTTCTTAAAAATGAGAGCATTTTCAACTTTGAAAAAAAAAAAAAGCCTGTAAGGGTTGGGTTATTATTAGTTTCCTCTTAAAAGCTGTCAAAGTTCTCAGAAGCCATATGTTTAAGTTGTCAAATTTCTCAGGACAAAATTTACCTGCATTTTGCTTAAATGAAAATTTTAAAATGATTTTTACATCTCATTTGGTATACATATAAAATATATTAGAATATTTTTATCTAATAAAATACCAAATATAATATTTTAGATATGGACTATTTCTCACTAATATAGAATTATTTAACTCACTAGTTGTACAAAAAGGAGCCCAGAGCCTTTATTTGTGCTTTTTTGACTCAGCATTTTTAGTGAGCTGCTAATGATCTGATCAACAGCTCTGCTGCTTTTCAAAACATGGGGAAGCAAGTACTTCACCTTTCAGGGCATCACGCTAATTCCAGGACTTTTATGGAGATATCTTACCAAGGTTAGAAAAACAGCTCTTTTATATTTGTTACAGGTCTGATAAAATAGTAAAACATGAAGTTTTTTTCAACCCTTGTTGCCAAATTGTTGGAGTATCTATGACGTTTTACACAACTTTTAAATTTTTTGTTTAAGCACAATAAAATTCCCAGTGAAACTGGAAATGCGCAATGTGTAGTTTTCATGTGGTATCTGGGCTTAATGGCAAGATATGCAATTTTGGTTTCCTTTGCCGCAACATCTCTTGTAATAAAACTGTATTTTAAGAGAAATTTCTTTATCGAATCTTTGAGATCAAAAGAGCTGAAAGTGAACTATATTCATTGGTTATTATATGCAAAGCTTCCTAGATAGATGTCAGGAACAGGGAGCAAATTTATCACCTTACTAATTTGGATGCAAGTATTATCTGAGGTCAGTCACATTTCTTTTTAAAATAATATTTCTCATTCACAGCCTCATTTAAAGTAGATTTAAATTGACCTTAGCACTTATTTTATCATTAATTTTCAAATCTTTATCAAAACTTTATCATTATTTGATAATTATTAATTATCAAAACTTTATCATTAATTTCAAATATACCTCAAACAATTGTGAATCACCGGCAAAAATTTGCATTCATTAATACCTAGAAATAAATGTTCCTTCATCTTTTTTGCCATCTCATTAAGTTTGCATTTTTATAATTGCACAGGCATTTACTTTGACATGGTATTTGAGACTCATCGCTTCTTTTTGGGCGGTGGAGGAACATCACTAAAATGCATATTCAAAAATTGTATTTTGCTTATATATCTGTGTTTGGTGAATAGTAATACTATTTCTGGATTTCAGCTTTAGAGGCATACATAATGTCAGGATAGAGATGGCATAATAAATGATACTTCTGTATTTTCCCCTGGAGTTCTAAACTGGTTGTGAAATGAAAAATAAATCAGATAGGAATCATGTATCACATTTATCATACATAAAGCTGATATTGGAATGTTGGGCTTTTATTTATAAGCAAGTGGACTCATTACTGAACTCCAAAATTAGGCAAAATTAGTCACCTAGACACTGGCAATACTGGAAAATCACAGCTCCCTCCTCCCAGTTTGGAGAAAATGAACCCAAGTTTCCTACAGGCAGCTAGTTCCCAAAGGGATAAGATACATCCAAGTCTAGGCAGTGATTTACAAAATGTGGTTCTAGCATTATCATCATCATCATCATCCGAGAACTTATAAGAAATTCAAGTTATCACGACCCATCCAAGACCTACTGAATCAGAAACTGGGGGTAGGGCCCAGCAAATCTATTTTCACAAACCCTCCAGGTATTTCTGAGGCAAACTAAAGATTGAAGATGATCAGTTTGCACCAGTTTCTTCTTTCAAACTGACCAGTTATACTGAGTTATAGGGAATATTTTTACATGATATTGATGACAGGGAAGTATCAGTGGGAGTGAGGAAGAAGTGTTTGGTCTCTAAAACTAATTTAGAATTATAATTTTTTTTAACTTTATTTGCTGTTTTATTTTAGTATGGTAATATTATTGGAAATTCCAGATCACTTCAATAGTTTATGGGCACAATAGAAAATAATAGATGACACTGGATTGTTGTAGAAAATGGTGTAAATAGTTGGCCTAAATATGGAAGATGGATTAAGCCTTCATAATTATGCTTTATTTAGGAATCCATGTTTACATCGTTTTGCCTTATTTTCTTTTTCTTTTCTTTTCTCTTTTTTTTTTTTTTTTTTTTTTTTTTTTTTTGAGATGGAGTCGCGGCTGCGGCCCGGGCTGGAGTGCAATGGTGCAATCTTGGCTCACTGCAAGCTCTGCCTCCGGGGTTCATGCTGCCATTCTCCTGCCTCAGCCTCCCTTGCATTATTCTCTATAATTGACATTCAGGGCTTCTCAAGTTAATATCCAGGATCCAGAGCACATTCCCCAAAGCTACAGAAATCATACCTCACAAGACTTATGCTAATATGTGAAATAAGGCGATACAGAAAAGCTGGGTTTAATTAAACACAGTCTCCTTCAATTAGTGACTGTATGTATTATCTTATGTAAATTACTGAACCTCTCAGGCTTACTATAAAAAAGAAACAAAAACTTGGTGTTCTTTTATCTTACAGAACATGTGAATTATATAATGCACCCTTTTTAAAAAATGCACTAGGAAGCTTAGAGAAAAATTGGGAGCCTGTGTATGGTAAATTCATCTGTTAGCAATAGCTTAAACATACCCTAAGAATGACCCCCTATGGCAGATGCACCCGAATGTAAGCAGTTTGCAAGCAGTTGCTTTTCTGCCCAGCCTGCCACCACTAGGCCATATGGTTCTCCTGCCCAGCCCACTGTCCCTGGACTCTCTCCCCTGTATATAAACCCCCAATAAAACTCGTGTCTTTTTTTTTTTTCTGGCCCTGGAACTCTTCTTAGGCATCTTAATTAAACCTGGTGACATTCCCACTGGAGTCAATAGGGATTGGCATAACTGCCAGTTTGCAACGTTTATATGTTATCATAAAGCATTTAATTCCTTGTATTAACATTCTGCTTTTATTACAGTTTTGCCCTGATCTCTTTTTCTATTTATTTTACAGATTTACAGCCCACATTTATTGTGTGCTCACTGTGTAACGTGTTCTGTGTTAAGTGCTTGATACTCATGCATTTGCAAAAACTCTCTGAGGTGGGTAATTATTTTACAGAATACCATTTTATAAGCATCCTTAAATGCTTTTGATTGTAGCAGTAAGTAAATAGATGAATACACAAGTTAATCTCTAACGCTCATCTATCTAATTCTTATATAGAGAGTAGTCAAACTATACATAGTATACACAATGAGATGAGATATTACTTAATTCTTTATCAGTCTGGTTTGCATAGGGGACTGGTACATGACATGTTCATGAGTGGATCCATCGGATAGCTGAACATAGCACATTCTGCTTAACCTTCTGAATAACACGAGAACAAATCTATCACATGCCCCTTCAGTTTTTAGGAGAGTAATGGAGGAGAGGGATTTCTTGACACAAAATGGAAAGGGAAATACCCAAATTAATTCAGATGAAGTAGAGATGTCATAAACATTAGGTAACTCTAGGAAATACAAGCTCCCAGATTTTTCAAAAGGCACTCACAAAATGAATACTAAATAGCATAAAATGATAACATCACCAGGAAGATGGCTCTAGGTCTCAGTACAAGAAGAGAGGCACCTATAAAGCCTGGCTGGCTTCAGTGTAAACTAGATTTTAGAAAGGCTGCAGGTGTTACCAGATGGTGCTGCACAGTTCCAGGCTCTTGGTGTCTTAAACAAAGAATTGGGTGAGACACACACAGATAGCAAAGCAAAGCAACAAAAGTTTATTAAGCCCAGTATTACAATCTCAGAGAGGGAGAGCAGATTGACCTCTGCGAGATGAGATCAGCCCGATTTATTACACTTCACGGACTTTCATGTTTTTCCTCACTTGCTCACCCTCACTTTAACTCTCGTAAGCTAATTGCTCATCCTTACTTTTCCCTCATTGTGCCTTAACGTCACTTTATTGTTTGTAAGCAAATTGCTCATCCTTATTTTTCTTTTTGTGACCAAATTCTTACTGCAAGTCCTTCTGACGTATTTTTCTGATCTTGTGTGTTCCAACTCACTGCTTATTCCCTTATCTACTTACTGCTTTCTCTTTTATTTCATATGTTCTGTTTCTGCTATCTTACATGTTTTGTTTTTGCTATTGCTTACGCTAGCCTACATCCAAGGATACCCTTTGCCCCCGACTTTCTCTGCTATTCTCCTGCCTCATTTCCCTCTGAGAGACATGATCCCCATAAATCTTTATGGGTTGTTGAAAGGCAAGTGTCTGTCTTCTGTACCTGCTTCCTGCTGTCTTTGGGTGGTGACCCTATCTAACAGGGGACCACGGAACTCTCACTCTGCTCTATCTAAGGGAGATGTCGGGGGCCTGGGCTGGTCATGGCTAGATGTTCTTCCAAGGCCATCAGAGTCACTATTATTTGGAACTTGAGGGCTTCCAGGCAGTCAGATACATACTGGACAAGGCAATTCAAAATGCAAGGTCCTAAGAGTAGTAAAATGAAGATTGTTATTAAAGGTCCCTAATATAAGCAAGATAATTGATAATAGCCAATTTTTAAAAGGGTTTAACAAGCTTTTGAACCAGCTTGGTTTGGCTTCCACTTGTTCCCTTAGCCTGTTAATGCAGTTAGAATTGGAGGAAAAAGTTATCAGGAGTTTAAGGTTACAGGAGAGAGTTATTATTTTAGGTTTTCTCAAGGGGAGAAAAAAATTGAAAGCAGTAAAAGTACTGAGAAGTTTTTAGAAAAGAAAGAGGTTATAAAATTAAAAGTGAACATTTTGCAATCTGATTGAGAACAAATTAATACTTTAAGGAAATCATATTTTAATATGGGGGATTGATTTTAGAAAGACTATTATAAATGATTTCCTTTTGATGATAATCAACTTGATCACATACAAAATTCCTTTCATAAATTCCCCTTCATGAACCTTCTGATGACTTAGAACATCTACAACACGCTTGGACTTTCTGACTTGCCCTAAACTTCTCTCTTTCCTAAATAATCAGCCATTTTACTTTAAGACAAAATTTACCATAGACAATCCTTTCTTGTACAACATTATTATCTTTTTAAAATAACCTTCCTTACCAAAAAAATACATCTTCAGAGCCATATTTTTCTTCATACCTTTCCTCTTCTACTTATTAGTTCCTTTCTAGCTTACTTCATAAGTAACCATTCTTAATTCCATAATTTGAATTGATCTTTAGTCAATATAGGCAAAATGATCAGTAGTAGCCAATTATGAAGTAAGTAACAATTCTTAAGTCCATAATTTGAATTGACTAACTTCTCTAATTTGATTTGACCTTTAGATATTATAACTTCTGAATTAGACAAAATTAGGTTTTTTAATAAGACTAGATCCTGGGAGGCTTCTGGCCTCTAATGCTGTCCAGAGAGATGCTGAATTAAACAAATCATTAATAGCAGAAGGAAAATGATACACATAAACTTCAGGGTATGCAAACATGGGGCAGTGCTTGAATTGTAGTAGCATCCCTATTTTGATAATAATGTCCCTTTCTATTAAGGGAACTGGGCAGCCTGGCATTACTAGAAATTCCTTCTGTAAAACTTGTGTTTCAAATGGGCAGGTCAGGGGTGGAGTGAAAAATCTAATTTGCTGCTTTCCTTCTATTACCACAATACTCTTAGAGAGGAAAGTTTTTCTGCATAAGCACTAAGGAAAAAGTAATTTGCCCCTGTGTCAAAAAGAAATGAAATTTAGGTGTCCATAATGTAGGGGATCATCTATTATGTCTAATTCTGCTTTGGGATTCCCCTTATGAGGACCTTTCCTTGGGACTTTGCACATGGATAGATTTTGATATAAGGCCATAAAGAACATACAGAATTTCTGACCATTTTCCTTGTCTTTTGCAGAACAGATCTAGCTGCAGGATGGTGTCAAAATTAAGGCTACCATTGACCACCTATTGTTCCTGACTTGCTAACTGGTAATGTGGCCAAACTGTGATACAGTACAATATTAGGTGTTTTTCCCACAGATTTTCAGGGTTGGATTGTTCCCAGTGGTTGAGAATACAGCCGAGGAGAGAATCGGGTGGGACTGAGACAGAGTTTCCCATGTTTAGCTGTGGAAGAGAATAAGGGAAAACGTAAGGATCTCTGGTCTAATGCATCTCATTGGACATCCCCTGTGGAGTGCCTGTGCAAGAGATGAGGTCCACTAGGGCATCCCCTGTATGGTCCTCTTCTTAGTGTTCCAGACATCTCTGGCCTTAGAGTGTCAGATGTTTCTGACCTTAGATAGGTGCTGGTGCCACTTGAGCCACTTGAAGGAGGATCCTGCCATAGCCGGTGACCTATAAGTTTCCCTTGGCTTTGGGCATCCCTGTAGCTGGCCAAGTTAGTTTTTTTTTCCCGCAAATGGTTTCCTTAACTACTCTGGTACCTATACTTTGAAGGGCAAGGAATTGCAGACTGCCTAGCTTAAATTTGTTACGGACTGGCCTCTTAATAAGGGAATAAAATGCCCTAATTTGGACAATGGAGAAAATAATGTAATATGTTCCACCATGTCCCTTGGGTTAACATGCAGCCTGTTACACAAGGTGGTCCCCCTAGGTCAGGGCCATCCCAAGCACACAAAATCCCTACTTTGTTTAGGCAAGAAAAAGTTCCCAAGTATAAAATTAATGAGAGCATTTCAGTTCCCCACATAGCATCTGCAGCCATTGTAATTCTCTCTTTAGGAAAACTGTCCTGCATTGGCCTAAATTTATTATTGGGATTTAATGCCTTTGCCCACTTATCCCTAAATATGCCATAAAATAAACATGTCTGTTCACAAGTAGGAAAGATCTGAAGTCATGATATTATTGCTGCATATACATCTCACTGATGCAGGGATTTGTCTTGTGCCTGGCAGCCTAATTGCTCTGTTCCCCAACCAGGTTATCTGTCATAGGAGTCTTCCAGCAGCAGGCACCCTAATGGCTTTTAACTGCCTGACTGCTGCCCACAAGGGAGCAGCCTGGACACAAGAGGACAGAAAAAGATAAAGAAAAATAAAGTATCCTCGCTGGCTCGTCTAATCGATGCTACTGGATGGTGCCGCACAGTTGCAGGCTCTCGGTGTCTCAAAGAATTGGATGAGACATATACAGATAGCAAAGCAAAGCAGCAAAAGTTTATGAAGCCCAGTATTACACTCTCAGAGAGGGAGAGCACACTGACCTCTGCAAGATGAAATCAGCCCTTGTTTATTACATTTCATGGCTTTTTATATGTTTCTCCTCAATGGTTTACCCTCACTTTCTCTTGAAAGCTAATTCCTCATCCTTACTTTTCCCTCATTGTGCCTTAACCATACTTTATTTTTTGTAAGCCAATTGCTCATCCTTAGTTTTCTTTTTGTGACCAAATTCTTTCTGCTAGTCCTTCTGTCTTATTTTCCTTATCTTGTGTGTTCCAACTCACTGCTTATTTTCTTATCTACCTACTGCTTTTGCCCTTATTTCACATGTTCTGTTTCTGCTATCTTACCTGTTTTGTTTTTGCTTTTGCTTAAGGTAGCCTGTGTCCAAGGGCCCCCTTCACCTCTGACTTCCTCTGCTATTCTCCTGCCTCACAAGATGTCTGCCAATTCCAAAGAGGATTTTCAAATAAAGCGAGAGAATGGGTGACATATAGTCACATTCAAGCAGTCCCTGGCCTATCAGTTTGATACAACAATCTAACTTCAGCCTTTCCTTGGGTTTCCAAGTTCAGTCTATCTCATTTCCCAGAGGCTCACTGCTGCAGAAGTAGGAAGAAGAGCTTTCTGCTGTCAGATCCTTATTGTAGGTTTAAGACCTATGGGACTGGATGGTACATTTACTCTTCATAGTCCCTGTCCTCCTTAAAGTCTCCCCCACCCCACAGCTGGTGCCAGTTTCTACAAGTCTGTTCAAATTCTATTCAGGGACTGGATACATAAATAGGAAATTCTAAAATCATGAAAGAAAGGGAAAAAAGAAATATGAATATTCTACATATTTATGCATATACTCAATTTAATTAATAATAGAGAAATGTCAAGTACTCTTATTAAAGAGATAACAATTTTACCTATCAGAGTGTCCAGGATTGAAAAGAATAACACCCAAGGTTGGTGTGAGTGTAGGAAAAGAGGCACAAACTTGCACATCTGGTCAGAGAGTAAATTGATACAACCATCTAGAAGGTAGGTTGTAAATATATGACAAGATTCCTGTGAAACTGCAAACGTTTCATCCTAAAAATTCAACTTCTAAGAATTTATATTCAGAATGAATTGAAGCAGACAAAGTTGTAAGTGCTAGAATATTCATTGTGACATTTTATAAGGATTGAAAGCTCCATTGCTTACTGGGCCAGACATGGGAGTTAGTGAAGGTGCAAAACATTTCACCTAGTGCAGACAGCAAGTAGTGGGAACTATGGCAAATTTCTATATCTAATGCTTTTTAGATTTCAAAAATACTGTAAGGACCAAACCAAACACCAGCTTGTTGCAACTGGTTTATAAATTTCAAAACTTAGAAACACTATAAATGTCTGAAGACAGGTGAATATGTTAATCAAATTACAGAACCACCCAATAGAGCACTCTTTATATATAAAGTGGGAATACTATGCCCTGTAGATATAAGCTGATATGAGAACATTGTCCTTAAACTACCTGGCAGATGCTAGGTGTCAATAAGTGTTAGCTTTTCTTCCTTAAGTGAAAACTCTCCTAGAGAGAGATGTGTTAGGCAGAATTCTTCCACTATAAGCCACAGAAACACCACTTACTTTGGCTTAAGTAAAAAAGAACACTTATAGGCTCACATAACTGAGAAGTTTAAGGGGTGAACTTCAAACATGGGTAGATGCTGACTTCAAGCAATACAGATCACATTTTTCTAGCTCCGTTTCTCTTTCTTTGGTTTTGTTCTCAGGCAGGTGCAACTCATGCTGCGGCAAGATGGCCATCCATAGCTCCAGGTATAAATCCTATCAATCTTGCAACATCCTGTGAAATCAAGCACCTCTTCCTCATGGCTCTACAAAAGTCCTAGTTATGGCTCTTAATTGCCCCAGACTTTGGTCATGTGTCCACACTTAGCTGTAAGGAACATGGCTGTGCTCTGGTCAAGGATAGGCCAAGGTAGGATGCTTACATCCTGCGTGACTCAGCCGAGTTTAGAGCACAGGCATATAACTCTACTTGTCACAGCCATGTAGCCATAACATGGGAAGGCCATCACTTGGCTGTAAGCAACTATTGTCTGTAAAATATATAACTGCCCTGCTGACATTGTACAGGTGCTTGCACCCAGAGAGAGAGAGCCAGAGCTGTTCATCTTTGCAGACAGACTAGGGGAGCTTGAGGACACAGCTCAGCTTGTTCGTGCCCAGAGACAGAAAGAATTAAGCTGCTGACCCTGAAGGCAAGGAAGAGCCAGCCGCACAGCTATGTGTGGGAGCCACCGGACTAAGCAACCAAGACAGGGTGGACTGTGTGAGAAAGCTGTTGATGAGAACTGCTGCTGAATAAAATCATCTTTCACCTGCCTACAACACCCCAAGTGTTCTTTCTGCTCATCCACCCATTGCCTTCAGACATCAGCATGAGCTGCAACCTGACCCTAGGCATGACAATAGGCATAGTCATGAACCTGACATTTGGCAATGTCGGCAGGATGAGGTGAGTGAGTCTTCAGCCCCTGAGGGCTCCCAGGTCAGCTATGTGGCCACAGCATGAGCTGTGGTACCTGGTGGCAGTAGTGCTGCTTGGATGAGCCCCAGTGGAAACGTGGGAGGCAGTGGATGGATCTCCCGTGAGTGTTGAGAAAGCACCGAAGCAGCTGGAAGAACACAGCACCAAGAAGGAATGCACCTTGGCTGGCAGAGTTGGACAGGTGTTTCTTACTGCACTGTGGGAAGTACATGCTCAGTCCCACAGTGGCTGCAGCTGTGCCAACAGGTTAGCACAAGGGCAAGATACTCTGGGAGACGGGTATGCGGCAGGCTATGTTTGATCTGAATATCTGGGGGCCGAATGATGAATGCCTTACCTCCCACATAAGGGATCTTGTGCTGGGCTCAGTGTCCCCTGAGTGTTTCTGGCTCTCTGGCCGCTGTCCTCACCTTGTATGTGGGGTGCCGCATACTTGAAGTGACTACTGCTATGGCAGCCCTCGGGGTGGCAGAAGGCTATCAGCGGGATTGGGGAGTCCATACCATAAAGAACGGAAGATGCCTCATCCACAGCCACCCCACGAGATAAAATGGGGCCACAGCTGGTGACCCGCATGGAGATGTGGATTGATTTAATTGGAGCTGGGGTTGTTCAGGAGAAAACTGACAGGCAACCCAACGGAATGCTATTGGCTCTGTGGAGGCAATTGTCCCCAGAACAGCAATTCTGGAAAATGCCCAAGAGGGGGCAAAACAATGTTACTCAACCCAGCCCTACCCGGACACTTCAACTCAAGGACTCTTTGCAGACAGGTGAAGATACGAGGCCTTTCTTGTTTGATTAGAGAACTGGCTGAAGTGCTCAGCTTGGGGGAGAGCTGGATGACCAGAGGCCATATGTGGAGCTGGCAATCCACTGGTCCCACACTAATATACAGCAGGTCCTAGCTCTGGTAAATACTGGTGCAGACTGCAGTCTTTTTTATGGGAACCCAGATAAGTGTCCAGGCAAAGCTGCACTTATTGATGGTTATGGGGGCCGATTGGTGGAAGTGAAACCTGTGTTTCTACATCTTGGCATTGGCCACTTGGCTCCCCACCTGTACACCGTGTATGTCTCTCCCATACCTGAATATATTCTGGGGGTGGACATTTTGCATGATCTGGACTTGCACACCAGGGCTGGAGAATTCAGAGTCTGAGCTAACATAGTAAAGCTGGTCCTGTGTGGACATACACATCACCAGCCCCAAGTTCTGCCACAACCCAGGTGGGTTACCTGCACTCATCAATACCACTTGCCAGGGGGGCATACAGAGATAACTGAGACTATTAAGAAGTCAGAGGAGGTGCAAATAGTGTGCGGCACCCATAGCCCCTACAGTTCTCTGGCATGGCCAGTCAGAAAGCCTGATGGGACTTGGCAGATGACAGTGGATTATCAGGAACTAAATAAAGTACCACCTCCTCTGCATGCAGCTGGACCTTCCATCACAGACTTGATGGACTGCTTGACAATGGAACTGGGACAGTACCACTTTGTGATGGGACTTAACTAAGTCCCATTCTTCTCCACTGACATTGCTCCAGAGAGCCAGAAACAGTTTGCCTTCATGGGAGGGCAACAGTGAACTTTCGTAGTGTTGCTGCAGGGCTATATGCAAAGCCCCACCGTGTTTCATGATCTTATTGATAATGTTATGCTAACCTCTGATTCTCTTGAAGGTTTAGGAGTATCAATGCCCCTCTTGCCTGAGATTGGGATGATGCAGCTGAGACAGCATATCTGGTAGCTAAGTGGGCTATTTAGCAGGCACAAGCCCTGTGAGCAGTCAACCAGGGGTGCCCGTTCAAGCTAAAAGTGCAATGACTACAGATAGCTTGAGTTAGGGCCTATAACAGCACACAGAGTGTCTGAGTATGCCAATAGGCCTTCCGTCTTGAGTATAGAAGGAAGCTGAGCTCTGGTAATCCTTGATAAAGAAGCAGTTAGTAATAGTGGGATGGGTGCATTCATGGGTAACTACCCCTCACCCCTAGACTGAGAAAGCAGTTAGTAGCTGTATATGCTGCCCTTCAGGCTCATAAAAGCATGGTACGTCAGGCTATTGTTGTCGTGCAGATGACTTACCCAATAACAGGATGGATGTGCTCATGGATAGCAACCCCCACAGACTGGGACAGCACAGACATCCACTTTAGCAAAGTGGGTCATTTACTTAGAACAGTGGAGTACACTGAGTACAAGTTCCTCAGCAGCTGAGTTACAAAAGATCTTAGGGGCTGTAGTCCTAATGCAAAATAAGGCCATGGGGCCCGAGGCACCCCTAGACCCTGAGCCTTTACCGTAATGAAGGGCTTCCTCCCATTCCTAATAAGGCATGGTATACAGATAGGTCTAGCCAGAGTACTGCTGCTGCCTGGATTGCTGTTGCAGTCCTGCCCAGTACTGACATTAAATGGTTTAATACCAAGTGTGGGCAAAGTAGCTAATAAGTTGAACTCAGAACAATGTGGATGGTGATCACCAAGGAGGTGACACCTATGGTAATCTGAAGCAATAGCTGGGCAGTTTATTGAGGCTTAACCCTGTGATTAATTACCTGAAAGTTACAGAATTAGCTAGTTAGTTACTGACCCATGTAGGGCCAGGCCACGTGGCCAGATCTATGAGAGGAAGGACGACCTTCTCCAACCAGGTATGGGGATGAATGGTAATCTGTTATTGCCTGCCCCAATAAGGCAGGGAAAGAGAAAAACCCGGTGTTGGCCATGGACCCTTCAAGGCCCTCATTGCATATGGTTGGCTATGGTAGCCCCCTGTGGGGAGGGTCTGCAGTATGATTTACCTGTTACTACTTAGTTATTTAATGTGTGGCCTCTGTGATTAACTGTTTGTAGCGGAATAGCCAGGGAAGGGACCCTCCTGTGTAGCTTATTATAAGTTGCCCTGTGACTTTGGCATGGGCACAGGACCCAAAAGAACCATGGGAAGTGGATAAGGTGTGGTATCACCCAGGGCAGAAGCCGTTGGCGGCTGCACTGTCATCCAGAGATGAAAAGTTGGCCTGTATTTTGCCTGAGGGATGTGATTTACCCCTGTTAGTACCTGTGCTTGCATTGTCATGTTGGCCATAGGTTGGCATGCTCAAACAGCATTGCGGACTGGGCCCACACCTACGTCAAGGTGACCAATGTCTCCAGCTGTTGGATCTGCATTGCCCTTCCAGCACCAGCTGTGGACGGTTGCCCTGGCACATGCATCCAGCTTCTATAAATAACTGGACGTGGCTAGAGACTTGGGCTCCCATGGACAATGGTCGGGATGCAACACAACGAGCCTTGGATAGGGGGCGTCAGAAAACCCATGGCAAGCCTGCCCCCTGGCTGACTCATAGTGTCCATGATGGATGGGGCTGGCTAATGGGAGAACACATGGTCCCTCCTTTGCAGGTACCACAATGTATAAAGCAGCACCAAGGTAAAGTCACTGTGGGATGATTGCCTGCTGAGGTTTGTGCAGACATAACACATGTCGCCATACCAAGGCGGTGGTGGAACAAGCAGCCATACCAAGGCCAGGCCCCCATGGACTTTGTGCCCCTCGGAAGTTTATGGGTCTGTGGGGACAACTGGATGGCCATATCTGCCAGCCAATTAGACTGGACGTTATACCTGGGGGTGGCCTTATGTGCCTGCCACTTGCTTCCCACATTGCCTAGTCACCTGCATGACTGGAAGGTGCTGCATTCCCACTTTTTGCGAGTGCAGTGGGCCCCTTGGTGGCTGTACCCCTTAGCAAGAACTATCCCTAAAGCTGGTGTCATTACTGCAGAAATGCAAGTTACAGCCCTTGCAGACACACAGTTCAGGGCCCAAGTTACACCTAAGTTGCTCTCCTTTTACTAACTGATAATGTTGATCAGATCAGGAAGGCGATGCTGCCAAACCAGATGGCCTTAGACATAGTCACAGCTGCCCATGGTGGCACCTGTGCCCTTGTAGGGACACAATGTTGTACATTTATCCCTGACAACCACCAGAACATAACGGCAGCCTTACAAGGGGTGACACAGGAGATTAAGATGATTGAGCCCCTTACTAACAACCCCCTACAGAGACGTTGAGCATCTCTGGGCTCTGGCCTATGTTGGGCTCTCATAATCATAGGTAGCATAGCAGGAATATTAGTGATAGGTTGTTGCTCCCTATATTGTTGCTGTGACCTGTGAGTTCAGGGTGCTGCCCTATGTACACAGATCCTCACTAAGAGAACTCCCTCAGCCTAGGGGGTGGAATGTAAGACCTGTGTGCCATGCCTGTATATCAAACCTATGTGCCCAAAACTTATGTGTAAAGCCTGTGTATGTATATCAAGCCTATGTACCCAAAGCTTATGTGTATAACCCATGTATCCAAGGCCTATGTCTCCCTTGGCCTAGGGTATGGAGTGTAAGGAACATGGCTGTGTTTTGGTCAAGGATAGGCAGAGGTAGGATGTTTACACCCTGTGTAACTCAGTGAGTTTACAGCACAGGCATGTAACTCTACTTATTATCACAGCCATGTAGCAATAACATGGGAAGGCCATCACTTGGCTCTAAGGCACTATTGTCTGTAAAATATATAATTGCCCTGCTGACACTGTATAGGTGCTTGCAACCAGAGAAAGAGAGAGGGAGAGAGAGAGAGAGAGGCAGAGCTGTCTGTCTTTGCAGATGGACAGAGGGGAGCCAGGACACAGCTCAGCTTGATCATGCCCAGAGAGAGAAAGAGTTAAGCTGCTGACCCTGAAGGCAAGGGAGAGCCAGCTGCACATCTGTATGTGGGAGCCACCAGACTAAGCAGCCAAGACAAGGCAGACAGTGTGAGAAAGCTGTTGATGAGAGCTGCTGCTGAATAAAATCATCTTTCACCTGTCTACGGCACCCCGAGTATTCTTTCTGCTTATCCACCCACTCCTTTCAGACCTCAGCATGAGCTGGAACCTGGCCCTGGGCATGACAATTGGCATAGTCGTGAACCTGACACTAGCCAATCAGTGAGATTCAAGTTGGCCAGCCTTGGATTAAGAAGCCAAACCTGAAGCCAGGGGCTCTAGTACCTAAATTTGTGTCCTGACTGTTACCAATGGAGAGTCTTTACTGTGAGTCATCCAAGTTCTTGGTGTTTTGAACAAACAATTGGACAAAATGCACAAACAAGGCAACAAAAAATGAAGCAATGAAAGCACAGATTTATTGAAATGAAAGTGCACTCCACAGAGTGGGAGCAGGCTCAAGCAAGCATGGCAAGGGCACTGGTTACACAGTTTTCTGGGGTTTAAATACCCTCTGGAAGTTTCCAGTTGGTCACTTGGTTAGATCCTATGTAAATGAAGTAGAAGCCTGTGACCAGTCTGACTGGTTGCCTTCAGCGACCAATCAGAGGCTGAAGTGAAGTTACAGAGTTACACCTTATGCAAGCATCTGATTGGTTGCAGGAGGGGACCAAGCAGAGACTGAAGTGAAGTTACAAAGTTATATCCTTATGCAAGTGAAGACTAGGCCAGTGACCAGTCTGATTGGTTGCAGTGGGGGACCAATCTGAGGAACTTTCCATTTTTCACCTGGGACACTTTTGATTCAGTTTGATTCCTTTTGATTCAGTTCTAGGAAGTCAGCACAAATAGGCCTTAGGTTCCCTGCCTCCAGACCTGATTCTCTTGCCTCACTGACAATGATGGAGGAATGGGTCTCCATGTGGGAAATCGAGATGTCATATCGAGGAGAAGGAAAACTGGGCAAAAATAGATGTTCTATGTAGCAGATGCCACATCATATCTTTATCTTTCTGAGGGCCTAATGCACTGTCTTGCATACATGCACATAGTAGGGTCTCAATAAGAAGCACTGAAGTTTAAAAATTGCCAGGGGCCTGCAGGAGTGCCCCTTATTTTTTTTTCTCTCTGTACATGGATGTCATTAACCCAAGTGTTCAAATCCAAGTGTTGATAGCAACTACCATCTTGGCTTCCTTATTTATTCCTACAGTGCTATTGCAAATTCTTGCCTGCTGTGAGACTATAGGTGTTCTTTCAAGTATGTTATTATCACCAACACCTGCTTGTTGTGCAATATGTAATAACACCATCACAATGGAAATCATGGAGTGTACTAGATGCTCACAGCAGCCCATCCAAATAAACAGTTAAAGATGAAAACATATTTTTACACAAATATATTTAAAACCAAATCACAGTCATCTTTTAACAAGGACAGGGCAAACATTTGCATGGATCTAATTAATTGCTGGGCTGACTTAACTACATATATGTAAAATATCATAAAGGAAAATAATATTCCTGCTCTAGGCAATGCTTTTTTTTTCTTTTTGGAACATAACTTCATCTTGTGGTATATTTTTCTAGTAATAATAAGCCGAATTTCAAGGAGATGAAAGCAGCAAGAATGACAAGATTGGCTTCAAGAACTTTATTCTTACAGATTTTCATCATTTCTGCCATGGCATTTCTTTCGTTAACCTCAAAAGATCATGCATGATCCAGTTTGGGGGTGGATAGTTTTGCTCCATTGCATTTCCTACATAATTAGCCATTTGTGTAATGAATTTCTCTTCCCATCCTCCTACCCAGTATGATTTCATGTCTTCTTTAAGCACCAACCTTAGCAAAGCTTACTGAGTGCAGGTGGAAGGAATGCCCTTTTCTGGCACTTACTTAATTAGAGCGTGTGAGGTCTTAGACACTGGATTCTGCCTTTTGGGAATAAAAAGCAGGCTGGTCCTGGTGGCTCATGCCTGTAATCCCAGCACCTTTGAGGCTAAGAAAGAGTATCATTTGAGCCCAGGAGTTCAAGACTAGCCTGGGCAACATGACAAAACCCGGTCTCTACAAAAAATAAAATTATCTGGGCATGGTGGCACATCCCTGTGGTCTCAGATACCCAGGATTCTGAGGTGGGAGGATTGTTTGAGCCCGGGAGGCTGCAGTGAGCCATGACTGTGCCACTGCACTCCAGTCTGGGCAACAGAGTGAGACCCTGTCTCAAAAAAGCAAAACAAACAAACAAAAAACCTCAAAAAACAAATAAGCATATGCACAAATAAAGCCCAAACAAAAACTCTGGTAATGTTCTAAGGGCTAAAAGAAGTTCCTCTGAATTTCCTACCCTCTCTCCCTAGACATCTCTCCTTCAAAAACTATATCACTTTTTGTCTCCTTAAGTACTTTTCCTGAACAAACATCATTCATATCAGTCAGTCTGGTTCCCTGAAAAAAAAAAAAAGAAAAGGGTGGGGAGCATTTTCTAGTTGCCTTTAGGGTCTGATTGTGGGAAAATCCCTGCTCCAGCCTTTCCTCCCTGAGTGCTTGCAAAGCACAGCACAAATGAAGCAAAGGTGCTGACACTTGCAACTTGGAAGGAGTGAGGGGCAGAGAAAGAAGGAATGGTTTCTCACATGCTCTTTTCAGAATGTGGCAGTTCTATGATTCATCTTATCATGAAGAGGTAACAATACTCACTAGAGAGAAGTGAGTCCATTTAGACCATGTCTGAGAAATTAATCTCAACACACTTATTCATTCATTAATTTATTCATTCATTCTTTTATAAAGCAGCGCCAGCTAAACTATGATCATGGGCAATAGAGGTAACTTCCCCACACCTCAGTAAAAGGGGGATGATGATGTTATCTATTCCACAGGGTTGCCGTGAAGTATGAGCAATCAATCACTGTAAAGTAGTCGGCACAAAGATTGGCATCCAGGACAGCTTAGAGCCTCTTGTCAGGCATACTTTTGTTACTGGAGAAACGGACTCTTCCTTTTGACTTCCAAGTCATTCAGAACCAAGTCACTCCTGGGAATCCTGTTTATTCTGGAATAGAAAGAAAAAGATACTTCAAAAAACAAAGGAGGTAGAGATTTTTGTTGTATATTCTCTTTACCCTCCCAATGAGATAGCCAGTAGCTACATGTGGCTATTTACATTTAAATTTAAATAAGTTAAAACTAACTAAAATAAAAAACTTAATTCCAGCTGGGAACTGTGGCTCACTCCAGTAAGCCTAATGCTTTGGAAGGCCAAGGCAGGAGGATCGCTTGAGGCCCGGTGTTTGAGACTAGCCTGGACAACATAGTGAGACTCAATCTCACAACAAAAATTCTTAAATACACAAAATTTAATTCCTCACTCACACTAGCCACATGTCAGGTGCTCAATAGCCACTTGCACCTTAGTGACTACAGATGTAGTAAAGACATAGACATTTCCAACATCATAGAAAGCTATTGAACAATGTTATTTAGGCTGCATTCTCCATATTAGACTACGTATACCGCTCTTGCTTAAATTTATCCCATTTAATACTCATTAATTTCCTATACGTATATGCAGAAAGCACTACGTTATATTCAGTGGGATTACAAATATGAATATCCCTGCCTTTAAGAGAGCTCAGGCTTACCACCATCTATGAGGAGAGGTAAGACATGCTCATAACTGACAATACACATAGTGGGCGATGGCTCAATATTCATTAGTACATGCAGTACATAGGGCTAATAGTGATGGATCTCTACAAGACTGATGGGTCTCTCCAAGAAAGAAACTTCTGTAGAAACAAAAATTGTACCAGTTTCTCAATTCTAGGATGGAAGCAGAAATTAGCCTATGTGGCAGTGGAGTGGGTGAGGGCTTCCTGCATTCTGAAAAGGATCACTGCAGGAAGCTTTACAATCATACGGCTCTAGGGCAAGTATCTACCCATTCTTCATAGGGACGTTCCGAATGGGAAAACTAAAACAAATACGAATGCTTAAGTGTATCACTACCAACATTATTAAAATGTCAACTGACTTTTAATCTCCCTTCAGGGGAAGCTGGATACTTGTCAAAAGATTAGAGATCTAGACTTATGGAGAAAGACATCAAAAGAGCATTCTTGATATATGAGATGCATAGACTGTACTACCTAGTGGCATCTGGAAGGAGCTGAAGGGAGGAGCAGCCAATGAGTTACCAGGAGGTGTATGGCTGGTGAGAGAAGTGATGCCTACTTATCTACATTTTGTACCTCCTCCCTATTGTGATTTCATGTTATCTTTTAGCATTAGTAAAGGTTGCCAACATGATCACCTAGTGTGTGCTGTGCTTTGGAGAAGAAGGTGAGATATACATGCCATGTCTTCGCTTTGGGGTTACAGAGAGCTGAGAGACCCATAACAGTCTGAGATCCAGTGACGAGTCAGCATGCAGTGACTGGGAGAACATACTTAAGTAGCACCGGAGTTCAGCTAACATATTTATATTTTTAATTTTATATCCCTGGAATGGTGGAACTACAAGCTAGGAGAACCTGAGTCCTGATAACATTGCTGAGCAGAGCTTCCTCCTCAGTTTAGATTTATATGTGAAAAGAGACACAAATTCCCTTCTTCTGCAAGCTATGTTACTTGGGGTGTCTGCTCCACTCGGCCTAAATAATCACATAATAAACTCTGTCACTGGAAAATAAACTGGAACATATTAAAGACTGAGCGTTATTATTGTTTAAAAACACTAAGTGGAATTCATTTTAATCAGCATATATACTTGTCAAATTGTACAGAAAAAGCAATAGTGAAATTAATTTTTTATTGAAAATATATATAGCTATTTAAAATTCCTTCAAGTCTTAATCTAGTAAAACTCCTCACGTCCACGGGAATAGCTAAATGGTGCACTTTGCTTTAAAGTCTGCCAAATTGAATATATCTAAATTTATTTCACAGAAAAATCACTCCCTTGCCATTTCAAGATCTAAATCAGGCAATACTAAAGAAGGGTCTTTTCTTATCCATGTTACCCAGATGTCAGCTTGGGTCACCTTGCCCTTAAGAAATCTATTGCCTTCCTAAGATTTCTTCAAACTCTGAGGTGTTTGTTTTTCTTAGCTACATCTGGCTCTGGTTTCTGGCATCTGCTGATATTGTCCAATGTGCATCTTGCAGCTGGGTAGTTATCTCATTCCCACATAAACCCTTCTTGATTTTCTCCCTCCAAAATACTACTGGCATGCAACATCTGCGTATGCTGACTAGAGATTCGGTGGAAATGGTAAAAAGGAATGGACCAATTTAGCAGTTAATTTCAACATGTATATTAGACTTCCCTGTTCATCAAAAGCCTCTGGGCCATGTCCTCCAACTGGGATTCTAGCCACCTACCACTTTATCAGGCTTTTACTTTCTTCTCTCCTTTGTTTTCCACAATGACTTACAGTTGACTTCTTGGACAGAGTAGTTTAGCTCTCTCCTTGGTGGGAGTATCTAATCCATGTCCTCAGGGTCACACTTTCCTTCTCTAAACATTTTATCACAATATTTTCCTAAAAATGACCATTCTTTGTCTAAAATGAACTCTGGTGCCTACTGGCTACATTTGGACCCATTAGCTATTCTCATGGGGGAAATGAAATCCAATCTATCTTATTTTGTGGTTAAGCAGTTACTTTTTTGGTTTATGACTTCATAGCTTAAAGTAAAAAAAAAAAAGTAATGATGTCCTAGCCTTTAAAAATTTTAGAATAGAATCCAATTTAGTATATTCAAATCTCATACTGCTATTGCACTGTCTCAGTATTTTTGCTTTTCCTCCAAGTATGATCAAGCCTGTCCTGTATCCTTCTGCTGCCAGTGCTCTCAGAAGGATCAGTTCCATGAGGGTGATAGAAGGTCTTCAAGATCTTGATGTTGTAACTCCAGTCTTAGGCTTCTTGCATGTCTCATGTCTCTGGGGATAGCTTTTTGTACCTCATCTGGTTACCAATTTCTAGCTCTCTTTTTCCATTTCCTTGTGTCCACTCCACTTACCTTCTTATTAAGCATGGACTTCAAACACTTACTTGGATGCACTTATTACCACCATAGCATTCCCTGCTTCTTTAAGCACTGGGAGAATATATTCTGTCTATTGCATCTATGTTTCTTAACAGCCTCCAGTACAGAATATTACTCAATAAATATTTGTTGTATTAAAAAATGTAAGACGTGCTTCTTCCAGTTGTTAAAAGATATTTAAAATACCTGTTTTTTAACTTGTGAAAGAGTCCAATTTGTTTTACTCTAGCAGATTCAAAGCCAGACGCAGAGAGCTTTTGGCTACTGTGTTAGTCACAGTTCTCCATAGAGGCAGGACCAATAAGACAGATGGATAGCTAGATACATAGATAGATAGATAGGTAGATAGATAGATAGATAGATAGATAGATAGATAGATAGATAGATAGATGATAGAAGATTTGTTAGGGAAATTGGCTCACATGATTATGGAGGCTGAGAAGTCCCATATAACTTTCTGCAAGCTGGAGAACCGGAGAAGCCAGTAGTGTGGCTCAGTCCAAGTTGTAAAGCCGGAGACCAGGGAAGCCAATGGTATAACTCTCAGTTTGAGGTCAAATGCCCAAGAGCCATGTGAAGCTGTTGGTACAAATCTCAGAGTCCAAAGGCTGAAGAGCCTGGAGTTCCAATATCCAAGGGTAGGAGAAAAAGCGTGTCCTACTCCAAAAGAGAGAGTAAGAAAGAGAGAAAGGGAGAATTTGCCCTTCCATCTAGGACCCCAGAGGATTGGACAGTGCCGCCCACATCGAGGGCGGGTCTTCCACACTCAGTCCATGGACTCACATGCCTATCTCCTCCAAAATCACCCTCACAGACACATCCAGAAACAATGATTCACTAGCTATCTATGCATCCTTCAATTCAATCAAGTTGACACCTAAAATTAACTGTCACAGTTATAGAATCCTATTCAATTTAATACCCAATTTTCTTTTTTAGTCAGATTTAGTTGTTTATACAAATAGCTCATGTTTTCATTAGCACTTGCAAGATTGATTATATTTTTCTTCACTTTTTCACTTTACCCTCTGGGGAAAAAGTCAGATTTAGAATGCTATGCTAAGATCAGTCTTTGAACATGTTAAAAGGACAGTTCCTGTTGATCAGTTTCCTTTCTTTACCCCTTTCACACCTCAGGGGCCTATGTAAAACTCAGTTGACTTCTATGTTCCTTGGTTTCTAATATTTTCGTTTTAGGATTTTAAATAACAAATAGTTTTAGAGGGCATATTTTATTTCCAATGTTCTGGTATATCCAGGGACTTTTAAGTGTCTTTAGTAAGATTTTATAAATAGGTTATAAAAATTAAGTACTTAATCAGTAATAAGTGTTTTTCACTTATTTTCTTTTCAGGATAAGTATTAAAAGAAAAGATATTTTATTTTGTCAACTCCTTTACCAACTCTGTAAGCCCGCAATCTAATCAGGAATAGCACAGTGGGTAAGCAAGAGCTATATATATAAAGGTAGAGTGGTTATCATTCAATATGTGTCATGAATATACTCTTGTTTTGTAATCTCACTTTTCATAACCTCACTTTTGAGGCAGGAAATAGCATAGCTCCACTGTATACTGTAGGATTTATAGAGGCCTTCCCAGGAAAGTTTTTGAGTATCAGACTCTTGGCAATAGCTTTGGTTACTTCATTCTTCTTCCTAAAATCAGTCTTTTCTGAGGCATTTAGCTGGCACCAGATTCAATTTCTTCAGAATTTCTATAGTTATTTTAGCCTACCACATAATTTAAACCTCAATTATATGCTTTTTATGTTAATATTGTTATAATTGTGTAGTACTGGGAGTTTTCATGACATTGGAAGGAGAACAGAAAAGCTTTAGTTTGAATGCTGACTTACTATTTACTACCCATTTGGCTTTACCCAAATCACATCCTGTCTGAACCTCTTTCTCATGTGAAAAAAATGGGAATAATAACTTACTTTGCTGAGTTTTTGGAATAACTTTATGTAAAGTACCTTTCGAGAAGTATTTCCTGAATAAATATTAGCTATTATTATAAGTTGCTATATTTTATTTTTATCTCATCCAATGCAAATGTAAATTGTACATTCAGCAAGTATATACCAAAAATGGTGAAGGTTCTGAGATTTCACCCTACTTACAAGCTAACAAATTTATTCTGTCACAGTTTCATGGATGATAGTAGAAAACATGAGACTTGGCTGGGTATGGTGGCTCACGCCTGCAATCCCAGCACTTTGAGAGGCCGAGGTGGGCAGATCATGAGGTCAGGAGATCGAGACCATCCAGGCTAACACAGTGAAACCCCATCTCTACTAAAAATACAAAAAATTAGCCAGGCATGGTGGCGGGTGCCTGTAGTCTCAGCTACTCGGGAGGCTGAGGCAGGAGAATGGCATGAACCCAGGAGGCGAAGCTTGCAGTGAGCCGAGGTTGTGCCACTGGATTCCAGCCTGGGCGACAGCGCGAGACTGTCTCAAAAAAAAAAAAAAGAAAAAAAAAGAAAAGATGACACTTCTGGGGTCAGAGACAAAAGACAATTTATTGCTGACAGCAGTAACAGCAGACAGAATCTTAGCATTTTGCAGCAGCTCTTCAAGCCCCAATTTTCTTAGTGAAGAGGGTCAGAAGATGACTATAAATACAGTGAGTTTTTTGCAGGACAGGAGCCTTGGGAACGTAGGGAGCTTAGGGAACACAAATTGTTTTAAAAAGAAGTAAGTATGCCTGCCATTGCTCCAGAAAGAGATACTATCTCGATCTTCCAAGGCTGTAAGACAATCTGCCCTTTGTTCTGAGGGACAGTATTTCTGTCTTTCAAGATTGTTTGCTTAAAAAGGTCCTTGAAAAGACAGTTAGAAACAAAAGGCAATTAGTGTCTTGTTCACAAGATGTACAGACGTGTGAGAGACCTGTGGGAAATTGGCTTCCAACAGCATACTTTATAGGATAAAATCAAAAAACAAGTTAAGGTTTAGTGAGTTTCAGCTATGATAAAAATATTAGGTTGGTGCAAAGGTAATTGCAGTTTTTGCCATTAAAGGTAATGGCAAAATTACTTTTGTACCAACCTAATAACTGGGATTAAACTTATTACTCCATAGTAAATAATAGAAAACTGAAAAGATACATAGGGCAGTGGTTTTTAGGCAGTGGTCAATAGACATCAGAGGACTGATTCCTGAGAGAAGGCAAATGAATGATGTGAGTTCTACGACAGTCTTTGTTCTCTGCTTAGAGACTTTTATGCAGCTCAGTGTAGGGGGGATATACCAAATAAAGCATGGCAGACTGGCTGAATCAAGAAGACAGAGAAAAGAGTTCAGGGAGGCTGAGGTGCCAGACATGTTTAGAGAAGAATACTCAGAAAGTGGGAAATGCATAAAGAGCTCTAAAAATACGCATTAGGGGTTCCATTTAAATGACTGTTGACTATTATGCTGCCTCATGAGGATAGAACCCTATGAGGCTAGACCAAAAAAAGTGTTGTGAATTTGTAAGATAAATAGTTCCTAGATTTTACACAGGTCTGGGAAATATTTAAGTTCTAACCACCTAGAATAGAGAGTCCTTGTTCAACAGCTGAGCCATTAATAAAGACTCCAGAAAAGTCATGCCTCGATAGTGGTGCTAAACAGTCTTTAGAGTAACATTACTCTAAACCTTCTCTTAAAAAGCTTGAAAACAAGGCTTAAAAGGATAAAACTGATCACAAGTAATTTAACTAATTGCCAGAACAAAAGCCAATACCATTTAAAGAAATACAATAAAATACAGCACTTGAAAGCATGAAAATGACAATCTAGTAAAAATTTATTATACATACAAAGAGGCAGGAAAATGTGACACATTAACAGAAGAAAAATAGAAACAATATAATATATAACTGGTCAACAGAAACATACCTAGAAATGACAGATATGATCTTAGCAGGAAAAAACTTTAAATAATCTAGGTAGTTTTTAATGTTCAAGAATTTAAAAGAAAGCATGAAATAATGAATAGAAATGTGGGAAATATTTTTAAAAGATTCAAATGGACTTCTGGAGATGAAAAAATATAATATCTCAAGTTAAAAATACTTTAAGAAATAGAAGCAGGTTAGAAATTATGTTAGAGGCAATCCATGAACTTAAAATATAGTGATAGAAACTAGCAGATGAAACAAAAAGAAAAAAAAAGTGGTAAAACTTTTGATAGAACCTCTGTAATTAAGTGGGAGACAATACATGAAATTAGAAACCAAAATGGAGGAGAGAGAAAAAGTATTTCAAGAAACAATAGCTGAAAATTTCCCAAATTTGATAAAAATTATAAACTCACAGATCTAAGATTTTCAACAAAAAATGTTTGAAAACTGCCAATAAAGAAAAAAAATTTAAGTAAAAAACAGAGTAAAAGACACATTATATAGAGAGGACAAAAATAAGAATTACAGCACATTTCTTGTCTGAAACTATGCAAGGCAGAAGACAATAAAATTACATCTTTAAAATTATATTAAAAAATTAAGTTAACCTAGAATTCCACATCCAATAACAATATAGTTTAAAAATTAGAGGTAAGTTTTCAGACTAAAAAAAGTTCAGATTTTTAAGTCCCCAGTAGACCTACACTATAAGAAATATTAAATAAAATACAGTAGACTCTCTATAGCTGTGGGTTCTGCATTCATGGATTCAACAAATTGTGGATAATTTTTTTTAAAGATTGTTGCATCTGTATTTATCATAATATAGGAGTTACTAAGAAATTATTTCAGGCAGATAGTAAGGGTCAGGAGTCCTCGGTAGGTGTAACTAACGGGTATCAAGCTCTATTGTCAGTTATGGTCTATAGAACCCCCACAAATGGTGGTAATCTTAACACTTACATTCTAACACTATATTTTAAACTTGTAAAATTTATCTCTTTCCATCTAGAAGCAGTCAAACTCCAAACAGTGCTGTGAGCAGAGCCCACATGGACATGCCATTCTTCCAAGAACCCTTAGATCAACCTCAGAAGAAGGCTCAACTGCTGTTCCCCCGCACAATGAATGCCCCTTTTCAGCAGGAAGTAGCCAGAAAGAATCGTCGTCCAACACCCCAACAGCAGTTAGGTTTACTTCTCTTCAGGGAGGAATAATGTAGGAGTTATTAAGAAATTATTTTAGGCAGGTAGTAAAGGTAAGGAGTCCTTGGTAAGTCTTCTTATTTAAAAAAAAAAAAAAAAAAACAGCTCCCAAAACATTTCTTTTCTGACAGAAAGGCCGCCAGACCAGCAACCATTGATATGCAAATGCAGGCTATTAGAAAGTACGCCCAACGTGGCAGTTCCCACCCTCTTCTCCTTGTCACCACATGTGCCAGGTGTCATGGCCGCCTTCAGATAACACCACATGTGCAGGACATCCTTGGCGACCTGTATTTGCATATTAAAAGACTTGAGTGGGAGCGCCAGTTTTTTCAAGGACTACGTGAATGACACACCTGTCAAACCAATCCCATGGGCCCTATGCACATCAGACACCGCCTCCTCCCGCCTCCCAATACAGCCAACTGCTTTCCGCAGCATGCAGGGTTTCTCCATTCAGAGACTCCCTCCCTGTGTACAGGAGAGACGTTTTCTTCTTTCTTTCTTCTTTCTTGCCTATTAAACTTTTCACTCCTTAAAACCGCTCCATGTGTGTCCGTGAAGTTAATCGTATCGGCGTGAGACCAAGGCCCCTGGTGTTTCTCCAGTCATCAGAACCACATCATTTATATGCAGACTTTTCTTGTCATTATTCTCTAAGTAATACAGCGTAACAACTATTTATATAGTATTTACATTGTATTAGGCATTACAAGTAATCTAGAAATGTTTCATAATGTATGGGAAGATATGTGTAGATTATAAGCAAATGCTAAACTATTTTATAAAGGAACTTGAGCATCCATGAATTTTGGTATTCTCAGAGGGTCCTGGATCCAGTCCCCCACAGATACCAAAGGATGGCTGTACTTTAAACAAATGTATAATGATACTAACTGGATTTTATATTTACACACACACAAAAGCGGTGAAAACATTAAGTAATGAGTAAATGTAAAAATATAGCTTTGTCTCTTTTTAAATTTTTTCTTTAAAATGAGGTTTACAGCTTAAAGCAAAAATATGAATAATAAATTGTGGTGTTCATAGGAAACAGTAACTTATATGCCTCAAAAGGTAGAACAAAGGGACAGGCACCGCTGGCTCACGCCTGTAATCCCAGCACTTTGGGAGGCCAAGATGGGCAGGGTCAGGAGATCGAGACCATCCTGGCCAACATAGTGAAAACCTTTCTCTACTAAAAATACAAAAATTAGCCAGGTATGGTGGCGCACACCTGTAGTCCCAGCTACTTGGGAGGCTGAGGCAAGAGAATCACTTGAAGCTGGGAGGCAGAGATTGCAGTGAGCAGAGATCATGCCCCTGCACTCCAGCTTGGTGACAGAGGAGACTCCATCTCAAAAAAAAAAAAAAAAAAAAAAAAGGAGCACAAAGGGTGAAAAGGGAGTAAATATAAATATTGTAAGGTTGTTATATTACAGATAAAGTGACATAACATTAGTTCACGGCATAGTGAGATATTTTAACATGATTTTTATAAACCCTGGAGCAATCAACAAAAATTAAAACAAAGATAAATAGATAATAACCCAAGAATGGACATAAAATGAAATAGTAATAATTCATCAATAAATCCAAAAGACAAAAGGAAAAGAGGGGAAAAGAAACAAAGAACAGACGAAGACAAGTAGATTCCAAGGTCAGGCATTGTAAGACTGAATAAAAAAGCAAGACCCTTATGTTGGAAATAAGAAATTTACTTTAGATATAAAGATGAAAGCAACTTAAAAGGGAAGTGGAAAAATGCATAATATGAAACACTATAAGAAAGCTGGAATGATCTCATTAACATCAGAAAAGTTACTGTTCAGAACAAGGAATATTAGCAGGAATGTTATCAGAATATTACATTTTGCCATGATAAATATTTCAATTCAGAAGACACAATAGGGTTAACTATGCATACACTCAATTATAAAGCTTTCATATAGAAGCAAAAATTGACGGAACTGAAAAGGGAAACAGACACATTTATAATTATCCATAGTTAAGTTGGAGACTTAAACATTCTCCTCTTAGGAACCAGTAGAACAAGCAGGCAGAAAATCAGAAAAATGTAGAAGCATTGAATAACATTATTAACCATATTTACTCAATTGATATTTCTAAAACATTGCATGAAACAACTGCCAAATATACATCCTTTTAAAGTGCATATGAGGCTGGGCATGGTGGCTCACACCTGTAATCCCAGAGGCCGAGGTGGGCAGGAGTTTGAGATCAGCCTGGCCAACATGGTGAAACCCCTTCTCTACTAAAAATACAACAGAAAAATCAGCCGGACATGGTGGTACATGCTTGTAATCCTAGCTATAATCCTAGCTACTCGAGAGGCTGAGGCAGGAGGATCGCTTAAACCTGGGAGGTAGAGGTTCCAGTGAGCTGAGATTGCGACACTGCACTCCAGCCTGGGTGACAGAGTAAGACTCCGTCTCAAAAAAAAAAAAGAAAAAAAAAAAAAGAAAAAAAATGCGCATGGAGTTAAAAGGATTGAAATCAGAAATAGTTTGTTTTTGCACCGCTGTGGAATTAGATTAGACATAAACAACAGAACAATACCCAGAATAACCTCAGCATTTTGAATTTTAAGCACTTCTCTAGTAAGTACCCATGGTTAAAAAAGGAAAAAAAAAAAACAAAAAACAGCACAGGAAAATTAGAAAATGTTTTGAACTGAATGAAAATGAGCCCCTGTTACACCTCTGCCACCTCTGGTGCAAACATGTGCATGGACGCCAGCAAATCTGCCCTTCCCAGTGCCTCACCCCTGCTGCACAGTCACCACCACTGGCGGGAGCTTACAGAGAAATGTCACCACCCCACTCCCACCAGTGGCCATCTCAAGCCAATGTGCATGCACTTCATCACACTGCTGTGGCTGCTGGCATGTGCAAGCAAGCATGTATCCCACTGCCACTGCCCTGATGAAGTACTTTGCCTGACACCCCCCCATCAGAGTGTTGTGACCTACAGACTGAGAACACCTCGGCCCCTCCAACACTACAGATTCCTAACCTCAAGGGGCCAGAGAACAAAGCAAGGGGCTTGGTCCCAGACCTTCAGAGCCAAAGCACACATTCCAGGACTGCCAAGCTGAGCCATGGTCCCCTAAAATCTTCTAGAAGCAAAGCCAGCTGACTGAACCCACCTTATACCACAATCAAATACCCAAGGGCATCAAAGAAGATAAAAGCAAAAAACCCCACCCAAAGGACAGCAACTGCTAAGATTGAACAAACATCAGCTCACACAAATGAGAAAGAGCCAGCACAAGAATTGTGGCAACTTAAAAAGCTGGATTGTCTTCCTACCTCCAAATGGCCACACTAGTTCACCAGCAGTGGTTCTTAATCAGGCTGAAGTTGCTGAAGTGACTGAAATGACAGGCACAGAATTCGGAATATAGATAGGAATGAAGATCATTGAGATTCAGGAGAAAGTTGAAACCCAATCTAAGGAAAACAATAAAATGATACAGGAGAGGAAAGATGAAATGGCCGTTATAAGAAAGAACCAAACTAATTTAACAGAGCTGAAAATCTCACTTCAAGAACTTACAATACAATCACAAGTATTAACAGCAGAATAAACCAAACTGAAGAAAGAATCTCAAAGCTCACAGACAGGTTCTCCAAAATAACTCAGACAGACAAACATAAAGAAAAAGAATAAAAATGAATGAACAAAACCTTTGGGAAATATAGGATTACGAAAAGAGACAAATTCTATAACTCATTTGCATTCCTGAAAGAGAGAGAGAGAAAGAAAGAAAACAACTTGGAAAAAATATTTGAGGACATGGTCCGTGAAAATTTATTGAACCTTGCTTGAGAGGCTAATATTCAAATTCAGGAAATGCAAAGAACCTTGTGAGATACTATACAAGACAATCATCCCCAGGACACATAGTCGTCAGGTTCTCCAAGGTCAAAATGAAGTAAAACATGTTAAAGACAGCTAGAGAGAAGGGGCAGCTCACCTACAAAGGGAAGGTCAACAGGTAACAGCAGACCTTTCAGCAGAAACCCTGCAAGCCAGAAGAGATTAGGGGCCTATATGAAGAATTCTTAATGAAAAGAAATTCCAACCAAGAATTTCATATCCAAGCAAGCTAAGCTTCATAAGTGAAGAAGAAATAAGATTTTTTTTTCAGACAAGCATATGTAAGGGAATTTATTACCACCAGACATGCCTTAGAAGAAGTCCTTAAGGGAGTGCTAAATATGAAAGGAATGACTGTTACTGGCCTCACAAAAACACACTTTAGTACATAGACCATTGACACTATAAAGTAACTACAAATCAAGTCTGCATAATAATCAGCTAACAACATGATGACAAGATCAAAACCCACATATAAATATGAACTTTTTTTATTCATCATATTTACTTTATTATTCTTTTGATGTAGACAAGGTCTATATTGATATTGTCTGTGTCTTCAGTGATATTGACAATTTGTGTTTTCTTTTTTTTTTCCCTTGTGAGTCTTGCTAAAGATTTATTTTTTAAATCATTTTGAGGAACCAGACTTTGTTTCATTTATTTTTATTGTTTTTCTGTTTACAACCTAATTGATTTCAGTTCTGATCCTTATGATTTCCTTCCTTCTGCTTGCTTTGGGTTTATTTTGCTCTTTTTCTGAGTTCTTATGGTGGGAACTTAGGTTATTGGTCTGAGACTATTCCTCTTTTCCAATGTATGCATTTAGTACTATAAATTTTCGTCTATGTACTACTTTAGCAGTTTCCCATAAATTTTGAAATATTGTATTTTCATTTTAATTCAGTTCAATGAATTTTTATTTCCTTTCAGACTTCCTCCTTGACCTATGGATTATTTAGAAGTGTGCTATTTAGTTTCAGTGTGTTTGTAGATTTTTCCTGTTTATTTTTCTGTTAATTGATTTCCAGTTTGATTATATTGTAGAGAACATGCTGTATAATTTCACAACTTTTAAATTTGCTAAGGTTTGTTTTACAGCCCAGAATATTGTCTCAAAATATATTCTGTTGCCATTTGAGTTCTGCTGTTGTTGGGGGAAGCGTTCTATAAATGTCCATTAAATCTTGTTGCTTGACTGTGGTGTTGATTTTTTTCTACATCCTTGTTGATTACCTCCCTAGTTGTTCTATCAGTTGTTGGGAGAGGTTGTTGGAGTCTCTGTCTCTAATTGTTGGCTTGTCTATTTTCAGTGTTAGTTCTACCAATTTAAATTTGACGTATTTTCAAGCTCTGTTGTTTGCTGCATAAACATTTAGAATCACTATGCCTTCTTCGTTGTTCGACCTGCTTATCATTATGTAATGCCCCTCTCTGATTATGGTGATTTTCTTTGCTATGAAATCTAGCTTATCTGATATTCAAATAGCTAATCCTGATTTTTAAAATTAATTTTTATGATATATATAGTTCTATACATTTTTAAAATTATACTTTAAGTTCTAGGGTACATACGCACAACGTGCAGGTTTGTTACATATGTATACATGTGCCATGTTGGTGTGCTGCACCCATTAACTCGTCATTTACATTAGGTATATCTCCTAATGCTATCCCTTCCCCCTCCCCCCACCCCACGACAGGCCCTGGTGTCTGATGTTCCCCTTCCTGTGTCCAAGTGTTCTCATTGTTCAATTCCCGCCTATAAGTGAGAACATGCAGTGTTTGGTTTTTTTGTCCCTGCGATAGTTTGCTGAGAATGATGGTTTCCAGCTTCATCCATGTCCCTACAAAGGACATTTACTCGTCCTTTTTTATGGCTGCATAGTATTCCATGGTGCATATGTGCCACATTTTCTTAATCCAGCCTATCACTGATGGACGTTTGGGTTGGTTCCAAGACTTTGCTATTGTGAATAGTGCTGCAATAAACACACGTATAGACCAATGGAACAGAACAGAGCCCTCAGAAATAATACCACACATCTACAACCATCTGATCTTTGACAAACCTGACAAAAATAAGAAATGGCAAAAGGATCCCCTATTTAATAAATGGTGCTGGGAAAACTGGTTAGCCATATATAGAAATCTGAAACTTGATCCCTTCCTTACACCTTATACAAAAATTAATTCAAGATGGATTAAAGACTTAAATGTTAGACCTAAAACCATAAAAACCCTAGAAGAAAGCCTAGGCAATACCATTCAGGACATAGGCATGGGCAAGGACTTCATGTCTAAAATACCAAAAGCAATGGCAACAAAAGCCAAAATTGACAAATGGGATCTAATTAAACTAAAGAGCTTCTGCACAGCCAAAGAAATGACCATCAGAGTGAACAGGCAACCTACAGAATGGGAGAAAATTTTTGCAATTTACTCATCTGACAAAGGGCTAATATCCAGAATCTACAAAGAACTCAAACAAATTTACAAAAAGAAAACAGACAACCCCATCAAAAAGTGGGTGAAGTATATGAACAGACACTTCTCAAAAGAAGACATTTATGCAGCCAACAGACACATGAAAAAATGCTCATCATCACTGGCCATCAGAGAAATGCAAATCAAAACCACAATGTGATACCATCTCACACCAGTTAGAATGGCAATCATTAAAAAGTCAGGAAACAACAGGTGCTAGAGAGGATGTGGAGAAATAGGAATATTTTACACTGTTGGTGGGACTGTAAACTGGTTTAACCATTGTGGAAGACAGTGTGGCTATTCCTCAAGGATCTAGAACTAGAAATACCATTTGACCCAGCCATCCCATTACTGGGTATATACCCAAAGGATTATAAATCATGCTGCTAGAAAGACACATGCTCAATATGAACTTTGAATGTAAATGAGATAAAATTGAAAGGCACAGAGTGGCAAGTTGGATAAAGAAGCAAGACCCAAATGTATACTGTCTTCAAGAGACCCATCTCACATGTAATGACATGCAGAGACTCAAACTAAAAGAATGGAGAAAAATTGACTGAGCAAACAGAAAACAAAAAAGCAGGGGTTGCTGTTCTAAGTTTAGACAAAACAGACTTTAAACCAACAATGATCAAAAAAGATGAAGAAGGGCATTACATACATAATGGTAAAGGGTTCAATTCAACAAGAAAACCTAACTATCCTAAACATATAGGTACCCAAGACAAGAATACACAGATTTATAAGATAATTTCTTAGAGACCTACAAAGAGACTTAGATAATCACACAATCATAATGGGAGACTTCAACACCCCACTGATTGTATTAGACAGATCATTGAGGCAGAAAACTAACAAAGATATTCAGGACCTGAACTTGACACTTGACCAAGTAGACCTAACAGATATCTACAGACTCTTTATCCCAAAATAACAAAATATATATTCTTCTCACCTGCACATGGCACATACTCTAAAACTGACAACACATTTGACCATAACACAATTATCTGCAAATGCAAAAAAACCCAAATCATACCAACCACACTGATGGACCACAGCACAATAAAAATAAAAATCAATACTAAGAAGATCACTCAAAATCACATAATAAACATGGACATTAAACAACCTGCTCCTGAATGACTTTTGGGTAAGCAAAAAAATTAACGCAGAAATCAAGAAATTTTAAATTAATGAGAACAAATTACAATATACCAGAATTTTTGGGACATAGCCAAAGCAGCGTTAAGAGGAAAGTTTGCAATGCTAAACTCTAACATCAAAAGTTAGAAAGATCTCAAGTTAACAACCTAACATCACATCTAGAAAAACTAGAAAAGTAAGATCAAACTAAAGCCAAAGCTAGCAGAAGACAAGAAATAGCCAAAATCAGAGCTGAACTAAATGAAATTAAGATGCAAAATACCATACACAAGATCAACAAATCCAAAAGGTGTTGGTTTTTTGAAAGAGTAAATAAGATTGATAGAATACTAGCTAGACTAATAAAGGAAAAGAGAGAAGATCCAAATAAACACAATCAGAAGTGACAAATAGGACATTACCACCAACCCCACAGAAATACAAAAAACCCTCAGAGACTTATGAACACCTCTATGCATACAAACTAGAAAACCTAATGAAATTGATAAATTCATGAACATATACAACCTCCCAAGATAGAACCAGGAAGAAATTGAAACCCCAAACAGACAAATAATGAGTTCCAAAATTAAATCAGCAGCAAAAAGCTTGCCAACCAGAAAAAGCCTCAGACCAGATGAATTCACAGATGAATTCTACCAGATATTTAAACAAGAACTGGTACCATTCCTACTAAAACTTTTCCAAAAAGTTGAAAAGGAGGGACTCCTCCCTAATTCATTCTATGAGGCCAGCATCACTCTGACACCAAAACCTGGTGCAGGCACAACAAAAAAAGAAAACTTTAGGCTAATATCCTTGATGAACATAGATGCAAAAATCCTCAACAAAATACTAACAAACCAAATCTAGCAGCATATGAAAAACTAATCCACCATGATTAAGTAGGCTTTATCCCTGGGATATAAGATTGGTTCAACATATACAGATCAGTAAATGTGATTCATCACATAAACAGAACTAAAACCAAACAACACATGATCATCTCAATAGGTGCAGTAAAAGCTTTCAACAAAATTCAAGATCTCTTCATGTTAAAAACCCACAATAAACTATGCATTGAAGGAAGATATCTCTAAATAGTAAGAGCCATCTATGACAAACCTACAGCCAAATGGGCAAAGACTGGAAGTATTTCTTTTGAAAACCAGAACAAGACAAGGATATTCTCTCTTAACACTCCTATTCAAGATAGTACTGGAAGTTCTAATCAGAGCAATCAGGCACAAGAAAAAAGTAAAAGGCATCTGAATAGGAAGAGAAGAAGTCAAACTATCTGTTTGCAGATGATGTGATTCTGTACCTAGAAAAACCCATATTCTCTGTGAAATGCTCCTAGATCTGATAAACAACCTCAGCAAAATTTCAGCATACAAATCAATGTATGAAAATTGGTAGTATTTGTATACACCAACAACATCCAAGCTGACAGCCAAATCAAAAATGTGATCACATTCACAAAAACCACAAAAAGAATAAAATATCTAGGAATATAGGTAACCAGAGAGGTGAAAGATGTCTACAATGAGAATTACAAAACACTCCTGAAACTAATCAGAGATGATACAAACAAATGAAAAAACATTACACGATTACAGATAGTAAGAATCAATATTGTTAACGTGGCCATGCTCCCCAAAGCAGTTTACAGAATCAATGTTATTCCTATCAAATTACCAATGATATTCTTCATAGAATTAGAAAAAAATATTTAAAATTTATATGGAACCAAGAAAAAGTACAAATAGCCAAAGTAATCCAAGCCAAAACAAAAACAAAAACAAAAACAAAGCTGGAAGCACCAGATTACGTGACTTCAAATACTACAAGTCTTCAGTAACCAAAACAGCATGGTAGTGGTACAAAAACAGACAGCTAGACCAATGGAACAGAATAGAGAGCCCAGAAATAAAGCCACACACCTGCAGCCATCTTATCTTCAACAAAGTCGACTGATATGGTTTGGCTGTGTCCCCCCCAAAATCTCCCCTTTAATTGTAATAAACCCCATTTGTCAAGGGTGGGGCCAGGTGGAGATAATTGAATCGTGGGAGTGGTTTCCCCCATACTGTTCTTGTGGTAGTAAATAAGTCTCATGAGCTCTGATGCATTTATAAATGGGAGTTCCCCTGCACAAGCTCTCTTGCCTTCTGCCAAGTAAGATATGTCTTTCTTCCCCTTCACTTTCTACCAGGATTGTGAGGCCTCCCCTGCCATGTGGAACTGTGAGTCAATTAAATCTCTTTCCTTTATAAATTACCCAGTCTCTGGTGTGTCTTTATTAGCAGTGTAAGAACAGACTAGTACACAGACAAAAACAAGCAGTGGGGAAAGGACTCTCTATTCAATAAATGTTGCTGAGCTAACCGGCTACCCATATGCAGAAGATTGAAACTGGACCCCTTCCTTACACCATATATAAAAACCAACTCAAGATTGATTAAAGACTTAAATAAGAAACCTAAAACTGTAAAAACCCTGAAGATAACCTAGGAAATACTATTCTGAAAATAGGAACTGGCAAAGATTTCACGATGAAGATGCCAAAAGCAATTGCAACAACAACAACAACGAATTGACATATGGGACCTAATAAAACTAAAGAGCTTTTGCACAGCGAAAGAAACTATCAACAAAGTAAACAGACAAACTACAGAATGGGAGAAAAATTTTGCAAACTATGCATCTGACAAAGGACTAATATCCAGCATCTGTAAGGAATTTAAACAAATTAACAAGCAAACAACAAATGACCCCATAAAAAAGTGGGCAAAGGATGTAAACAGACACTTTTCAAAAAAAAAAAAAAAAAGCATACATGTGGCCAACAAGCACATGAAAAAATACTCAATATCACTAATCATTAAAGAAATGTGAATCAAAACCACAAAGAGATACCATCTTACACAAGGCAGAATGACTATTATTAAAAAGTCATAAAATAACAGATGCTGGTGAGGTTTCAGGTAAAAGGGAATGCTTATACCTGGCTGGTGGAAATGTAAATTAGTTTAGCTATTGTGAAAAGTAATTAGGGATTTCTCAAAGAACTTAAAACAGAACTATCATTCACCCAGCAATCCCATTACTGGGTATATACCTAAAGGAATATAAATATTTCTACCATAAAGAGACCTGTATGTATATGTTAATCACAGCACTATTCACAATAGCAAAGGCATGGAATCAACCTAAATGCCCATGAATGGCAGGCCGGATAAATAAAATGTAGTACATATACACCAGGGAATAATATGCAGCCATAAAAAGAATAAGATCATGTACATTGCAGCAACATGGACAGAGCCGGAGATCATTAACTTAAGCAAACTAACACAGGAACAGAAAGCCAAATACCACGTACTCTCACTTATAAGTGTAAGGTAAACATTGAGTACACATGGACACAGAGGAGGGAAAAACAGATACCAGGGCCTACTTGAGGGTGGAGACTGGGAGGGGGTGAGAATTGAAAAACTACCTATCAGGGACTGGCACAGTGGCTCAAGCCTGTAATCCCAACACTTTGGGAGGCGGAGGTGAGCAGATCACCTGAGGTCTGGAGTTCAAGACCAATCTGACCAACATGGTGAAACCCCATCTCTACTAAAAATGCAAAATTAGCTGGGTGTGATGGTGCATGCCTGTAATCCCAGCTACTCAGGAGGCTGAGGCAGGAGAATGGCTTGAACCCAGGAGGCGGAGGTTGCAGTGAGCCGAGATCGCGCCATTGCATTCCAGCCTGGGCAAAAACAGTGAAACTCCGTCTCAACAACAACAACAAAAAAACAAAAAGAATAACTACTATCAGGTACTACCTACCTATCAGGTACTATGCTTATTACCTGGGTGATGAGATAGTCTGTACATCAAACCCCTATGAACACAATTTACCCGTATAACAAACCTGCACATGTACCCATGAACCTAAAATAAAAGTTAAAAAAAATGAAACACGACATATCAAAATCTGGGAGATGCTGCTTCAGCAGTATTAAGAGGGAAATTTATACTTTAAATATGCGTGTTAGAAAAGAAGTGAGCCACAAAACTAGAAAATCAACAAATTAAATGCAAAGTTAGTAGAAGGAAGCACATAAAAAATAAAATTTCAAAAATCAATATAAAAGATGCACAATAGAAAAAAAGAATAAAAATGTTCCTTTATAATATCAACAAAGCTGAAAAATACCTAAGCAGGTTAATCGAGAAAATAGAGAAACAGATTACCAATATCAGAAATGAAATAGGGATCATCACTGCATATCCTATAGACAGGGTATGTTAAGGAATATCAGGAAGAGATTTATGCCTGTCAATTTGAAAACTTAGTTGAAATGGACAATCTCTTTGGAAGGCACAAATTACCATAATTAAATTAAGAAGAGTTGGAAGGTTATGTTTCTACATAAGAATATAGAAAGCCTCAAGTGAACATTATTCCTACCCTACCACTGAGAAAAACCTGGATAATCTGCAAATAATAATAATAATAATAAAATACTTAAATCATCTATTTTCTTGAGCCCATCAGAGACCTGAGCTTTCATGGCAGCCAAATGATCAGAATTCCCCAGAGTGACAAGACCTTTTGAGGATAAACAGGACTTCTAAATTCTTTTCTTTTTGGCAGAGGATGAAAGACAGAAATGGCCATCATTCAAATCAGTGGGAAGAACTCTGTTAACATTATAAGAAATTTTAAAGGGCAGAGTGTGGGCTGGCATATTTGTTCATAATAGCTGGGATCCCAAGCATAAAGTGCCTTAGCACTCACTAACAAACTTCTTCTTCTTCTTTTTTTTTTTTTTTTCCGGGACGGAGTTTCATTTTTGTTGTCCAGGCTGGAGTGCAATGGCACAGTCTTGGCTCATTGCAACCTCCGCCTCCCGGGTTCAAGCGATTCTTCTGCCTCAGCCTCCCAAGTCGCTGGGATTACAGGTGCCCACCACCATGCCTGGCTGATTTTTTTCTTTTTTTGTATTTTTAGTAGAGACAGGGTTTCGCCATGTTGACCAGGCTGGTCTTGAACTCCTGACCTCAGGTGATCCGCCTGCCTTGGCTTCCCAAAGTGCTGGGATTACAGGCCAAAACATTGTCCACAGCAGTTGTACCATTTTATAATTCCATCAACAATGTATGAGGGTGCCAATTTCTCTGCATCCTCAGAAACAATTGTTTTGTTATTTATTTTTGTTTGTTTTTGTTTTTGTTTTTCGAGACAGAATCTCACTCTGTCACCCAGGCCAGAGTGCAGTGGCACAGTCTTGGCTCACTGCAATCCCCACCTCCCAGGTTCAAGCAATTCTCCTGCCTCAGCCTCCCAAGTAGCTGGGATTACAGGTGCCCACCACCATGCCCGGCTAATTTTTGTATTTTTAGTAGAGGTGGGGTTTTGCCATGTTGGCCAGGCTGGTCTTGAACTCCTGACCTCAGGTGATTCCCCCGCCTTAGCCTCCCAAAGTGCTAGGATTACAGGTGTGAGCCACCACACCCAGCCTGTTATTTTTTTAATTATCACCATCCTAGTGAGTGTGAAGTAGTATTGCATTGTGGTTTTTATCTATTTCTCACTAAAAACTAATGCTGCTGAGCATTTTTTCAAGCATCTGTTGGCTATTTGAATATCTTCTTTGTAGTAATGTATATTCAAATACTTTGCTCATTTTTAATTGGATTGTCTTGTTATTGTTCAGTTGTAACAATACCTTTTATGCCCTGGATATGAACATGTATATACTATTTGCAAATGTTTTCTCCCATTATGTGGGTTTCTCTTCACTTTCTTATGTGAGTTTCTCTTCAATTTCTAAAACCCATTATGTGGGTTTCTCTTCACTTTCTTGAGAGCATTTTGGGGGCACAAAAGTTTTGATTCTGATGAAGTCAAATTCACATATTTTTTTCTCTGTTTACACCTATTGCGTTTAGTGTCATACATAAGAAACCATTGCCTAAGCCAAAATCATGAAGATTTATACTTCTGTTTTATTATAAAGATTGTATAGGTTTAGCTTTTATATTTAGGTCTTTGATGCACTTTGAGTCAGTTTTTTAATATTATGCAAAAGAGGAGTCCAATTTTATTTCTTTCATGTGGATAATCAGTTCTCCCAACAATATTTGTTTGAAAGACTTTTCTTTTCCTGTTGAATGCTCTTGGCACACTTATTGATATATAATTTATTTTTGAACTTTCAATTACATTTTATTATTTATCTATCCTTATGCTAGCAAAACACACTTGATTATTGTAGCTTTTGAGCAGCATTTGAAATTCAGAAGTGTGAGTATTCCAAGTTCGTTTTCTTTTTCAGGATTGCCTGGCTATTCTGGGTCCCTTACAATTCCATATAAATCTTAGGACTAATTTCCCCATTTCTATAAAAAATTCAGTTATAATTTTGATAAGATTTTGTTGAATCTCCAGATTAATTTGAGAAGTATTGCCATCTTAACAATATCAAGTCTTCTAATCCATGAACATAGATATCTTTTCATTTATTTAGGTCTTCTTTAATTTCTTTTAACAATATTTTATAGTTTTCAGTGTACAAACCTTTCCTTTCATAGTTAAATGTATTCATCAGTATTATATTGTTTTTGATGTTACTGTAAATTGAATTGTTTTTTAAAATTTTATTTCAGATTGTTTCTTGTTAGTGTATAAAATTAAAATTTGTTTTCATGTGTGTTGATCTTTTGTCCTACAAACCTGCTGGATTAGCTTTGATAGTTTTTCTGTGGATTCTTTAGGAGTATTGTGTGTATACATATGTGTGTGTGTGTGCGTGTGTGTGTATATATATATAGAGAGAGAGAAAGGGTCATCCTCAAATAGAGATAGTTTTACTTCTATCTTTCCAATGTTGATGCATTTTATTTCTTTTTATTGCTTAATTTCTCTGTCTAGACTCTTCCATTTAATGGTGAAAGGAAGTGGTGAGAGCAACATTTCCATCTTGCTTCTGACCTTATGAGAAAAGCTTTCAGTTTCTACTATTAAGTTAGATGTTAGCTGCGAGTTTTTCATAAGTGCCTGTTGTCACTTGAAGACTTTTCCTTCTCTTCTTAATTTGTTGCATGTTTTTATCTTGAAAGTGTGTTGGATTTTGTCAAATGCCCTTTCTTCATCCATTGAATTGACCATATGTGTTTTCCTTTATCTTAATATGGAGTAATGCATTGATTTATTTTCATATGTTGAATTAACTTTACATTCCTGAGACGAATCTCACCTGGTCATGGTGTATAAATCTTTTTATTTGCTGTTTTACTCAATTTGCTTGCATTAGCTTGAGGATTTTTGCATCTATATTTATAAAAGATATTTATCTGTAGTTTTAATATGATGCCCTTTTTATTATTCAGGGTAATGCTGACAACATAGAATAAATTAAAAAGTGTTTTTCCCTATTCTCTTTTTGGAAGAGTTAATTCTTTTTAAAGCATTTGGTAGAATTCACCAGAGAAATGATCTGATCCTAGGCTTTTCTTTGTGGGTAGTTCTTTTGATCACTAACTCAATCTGCTTACTTGTAATAAGCATATTCAGTTTTTTTAATTTCTTCTTTAGTCATTTCTTATAGCTTTATTTTTCTACAACTTCATTCATTTTATATAGACATCTGATTTTTTGACATACACTTTTTCATTGCATTCCATATTTCTTCAAGCTCAGTAGTCATGTTCCCTCTTTCATTCATGATTTTAGTAATTCATGATTTTGAATAGTTTTCCACTAATGACTAATGAGATACTTTCTGCCTGGTTCTTCTATTTCTGTTCATTTCTTTTCAAGTCTTTTGATGGCTTCCCTTCCTCTTCCTCTTAAATAGTGGTGGTGTGCAGGACTCTTGCTAGAATGTCTTCTATTCCAATTCTATGTAATCTACTGCCATGACATAAAATAATACCACGCTGGCAATTCTCAATAATACATTTTTGGAAGAAATCTCTCTTCTGAGCTCTAGAGAGTATCTATAGTTAGAATCTTCATCTTAATGTGCTGAAGTTACCCCAACATGTCCCCAAAAGATACCTACTTCTCCACTCACTAAACTTGCTGTTTGTGTTACCTAATTCAGTGAATAGTATGACCATCGATCTAAGCACCTAGGAAATAGACCTAAATTTCACATAACTTCTCACATCCTTCATTGACCAAGACCTAAAAATAATGCCTCCCTATATCTCAAAATCTTTCCCCTCTTGTTTATCCCCACCATTTTATTCTCATTCAGGCCTTCACCGTATTCACATGGATGGCTATAATAATCTATTAATTATATTTTTTGCATCCGGTTTTTTATCTCTTCAATCCATACTCTGATCCTTAGCCACAGTGCTCTTTCTAAAACACAAGTCTGTTCAAGTTATTGATCTCCATGACTGTAAAACAAAAGTTCAACTCCTTCCTTTGTTTTCCCAACATTTCCAGTCATTTATCTTACCACATTCTATCACAATATATACTCTTACTACATAAATTTTCTTACTGAGCTATTTCATACTTCTGTGTGTTTGCTCTTATTGTTCCCAATGTATTTCTGCCTGATTGCCTTCTTCTACATTTCCCAAAGCCTGTTTGGTAAACACATCAATTTCTGGAAGCAACACCTGCTCAGTTTTTCATCTGAGGTTAATCACTTCTTCCTTTTGGCCCACATTTTATCTTAACCTCATCTCAGTCTCCATAATGTTGTATCGAATATATTAATTTACATGTCTCTTTCTCCTTTCTATGTTGTAAGATGCTCAAGGGTGGGAGATGTGTATAATTCACTTTACATTCTCATCTTGGGATAACAGATGTTTGAAATACACGTGTTGAAAGAATAGATGAACAAGTGAATGTGGTATTGCTAGATCTCAGTCCTGTTTGACTAGCAAGTAGTGTAGCAGGATGTCAAGGGGGTTGGAAGTAAGGCATTCAAATCTGAGAAAATAAAAGGTGCAAAGGCTCAGATAAATTAATTCCATCGAGTATTGTAGAAACTTCAAGTTTAGAAAATTGATGAAGGGAACAAAATAAATAATTACAGCATGGCCAAGTTGCTATATTGAGGGATTTGAACTTTATCTAGAGGTGATAAAGACTTGTCTCAAGGAATTGTATCTGAGACTTCCCTAGCTCCTCCAGAATATGGCCTAGTGAGTTCCATACATCTTATACCCTAATCACTAAGTCATTCCTTTCTTTAAAAGCTATTATTTGCATTTTCTAACGATGAAGTTCCTGAAGCAGAGAGTATTCTAAAAACATATATTATTACACTGTGGTAGAAGTAGACATCACTTGTCATTGTTAGCTGAATCCTGTGAATTAGAAGTAGATGTGGAGCCGAACATGACTGTCTTTTTTCTCTTTCTGGACACTAACTCCTCTACATATGCATATGATTTTAAAACTTCATTTCCAGCGGTTCCTTGTAAATTTACATCTTTTCCATAAGAATAGCCCAAAAACCTCAAACTCATCATCAAAAAGCTGATGTTTGACTATTAAACATGAACTTGTACAAAATTTTGAAAATAACACTTATATAGTCACCAATCTATTTATAGCTGCCAGGACATATTATATACACAGAGATATTTTCCTTTTCTCTTTTTTTAAGTGTATTGGAAACCCTTGAACTACTCTATTGTCTGTCTGTGTATCTATCTATCTATCTATCTATCTATCTATCTATCTATCTATCTATCTATCTACCTACCTACCTATCTATCTACCTACCTACCTACCTACCTACCTGTCTACCTATTTATTTCTTCATACATTCTTTTATTTAGAAAGCAAAGAATTCAACTAGAATGTTCTGGGTCCTGGGAAGGATGTCCTTGAATCTTAGAATTTTTATAGATGTCCCCTATCTACTCTTAAGCCATAAGTGAACAATATCAATGGGAGGAATCCAGTACACTAGCATCTTTCATGTTCAGAAAAATTGAGTTCTAAAGACATAAAATGGCTCATCTAGGGGAAAGCAGCATGTTTTGAGCAGGACTGAGACTGGAAGACCAGTTTCCTTCTCCATTACTATTTTCACTTCACTGAAACATAGTAGGATGATTTTACTTGTATTATGTCCTATTTCAAATTGCATGCTTTCTAACAGTTCTAGAAGAAGTAGAGGGAATTGAGAAGAAATAAATAAAATGAGATTTTTAAAGGCTTAATTTAAGAGGATCAAATGACCACCTTTGTGATTTGGATTATAAAGTTTGGATAAATTACCTAACTTTCTTCCAGTATATGAAAGAAGATTTAAGATAGAGTAGTAGACAGTGCCTTGGCATCATAGCTGAGGTTAAAACAAGAAGAAATAGACTTCATAATAGTGGATTTGTACTACAATTGAAGAACTTTCTAATTCCAAAAGTTGGAAAAAATACTAGATTCTATGAGTAAGGCCATAGAAGACTCTTCTTTGGGGATTTTTTTAAAAATAAAAGAACAGGCCATCATATCATGGTCATGCATCCCTATGAAGAAGGAGAAGTCTGAGTTTGGATGATATCCTGAAGTCTCTGACTTTACAATTTTGTATCATTTCAAATTTAAAAGAACAAATTCCCACGTGGCAACTTTCAGACAATAGCTGAGCTATGACAAAAGCTGTGAAATATTGCCAATAGATTGCAAAGCATTTATTAAAAGTTTATAATATTATTATTTTAAATCAAATACTTTTTTCATAGAGGATAACATATTAGCATCAAATGGGTAAAAATATACACATTTGCATTTCCTCTTTTGGCCTTTAGCCTTTCTGCATTTTAAAGACTGAAATAATAAAGTGGTTACCTGTAGAGTTACAAAAATATATGAAAAAATAAAATGATTCTAATAATTTTAAATGGTATGTTACTATTTACAACATGCCTTCATATATATTACAATATGTTTTTAATCTCACCTGCCACAGATACCCTAAGTGACAGGTGAGACATATGCTATTATCATTTTTAAGGTAGGAAAATAACTCTCAATGTGACAATGATGATTTTCCCAGTTCCACAGGTAGGAAGCCATAAAGTTGACACATCTGGCTCCACATTCCGCAAATCCTTACATTCTCAATAATTTACTGGTTCTTCAAGGCAGAGACTCCTGACCAATTATATGATCCTTGAAATTTAAAATTAATTCTATATTTTTAGATATTATGCACATTTGATAAATTCAACAAGATTTTTTTGAGACATCTACTATATGACAGCTGATTGTGTGGGAGAAAGAGATACACCTAAACTGTTATTGTGTCTGATAGCAAGAATAAAATACCATGGGGAAAAGTGGGGGGAATAAATTATTTTGGCTGATAAATGAGGTTTCTGGAAAAGGCTTCACAGAGTAGATTACATGTGATGTAAATGCTCAAGACTGGAAGAGCAGAGGCTTGAAAATATATGCTTTTCCTTTATTAAGGCCTAAAAAACTTGTATGAAAACTAATGTTAATAAAGAGAAATTGCCTATCAGTGACAAGGGAAAAAACAGCTGTGAGTAAAAGGCTTCCTTCATCTTGGGGAGAATTTGTATAAGGTCCACCGCAAGGTTCTCTTTGGAAAGTGGCCCTGGAAAGCACATTATGTTCCATTTGTGAATTCAAGGAGCTGGGAACTGTACTGAATGTTTGAATCACTTTAAGGAAGAATTTCCTTTACTAAAAGAGACAGCGCCAAATGCAGGAAGAAGAAAGATTTTTGGGATTGTTGAAGTACACTGAAACCATTTATAAGAAAGTGAAAGAGAGAAAGAAAGAAAGAAAGAAAGAAAGAGAGAAAGAAAGAAAGAAAGAAAGACAAAGAAAGAGAAAAAGAAAGAAGAAAAAGAAAGAAATAGAAAGAAAGAAGGAAAGAAAGAAAGAAAGAAAGAAAGAAAGAAAGAAAGAAAGAAAGAAAGAAAGAAAGAAAGAAAAAGACACATTACTCAGGCTTTAAATTAGAAGAAATAAGAAGTTGTTGAATTTAAATATCATGGGCTTAAGGAAAATTTTTAAACTGGTACAACCTGCCTTAACAGCCAGGAGTACACACAGTGCCATTGGGCAGTGGTGTCCCAAGAAGTCCAGTCTTCTTTCCACCCTCTTTCCCCTGATACCCAAGAATCTCCTTGGGTGCTTACTCATGTTCAAAGAGCTAGCCCTGATTGCTGGCCCTTCATCAGATGAGATGCAAGGAAGATGAGGCTGAAGGACCCCATATTCACTGCCCAGACTAGTTGCTTGAGACGCCTCACCCCCCTACAATTGTTGTCACTAAAGCCAGAGACTGAAGATACCACTAAAACTAACAATCTAAAGAGACATCCTTCATCTCCCATTTTGTCGCTAGTACCATTGATAAAGCCAAAGCTTGCTGTTGCCTCCTCCGAAATCCTAGCAGTCCTATTTCTGCAACCACAAGCTCAGAAAGTCCCTGGCATCCACTTGCTATAGCTGTGAATACTAAAGTCACAATTTTGTGTGGTAGCTCTCCTAACCTTGGCTCCCCTTGGAAATGTGGTTTGGTAGCAGTCTCTTGCTCAGGTCGGTGCTGCTGTTACTGAAATGGGCCACTGCTCAAAATGTAGCAATTCTTTGTGGTACACCAGGATAAGGTATTCTGAATCAAAATTGTCCTGGGCTCTATGGATTCACAAGCACAGCTACTTCCCCAGCACAAGTCAGTCCTAACATGCCTGGGTCAGAGAAGCTGTTTTCTTCTCAGTGCAAGGATGCGAGGCCTATCTATCATACAGCATTGTGGAAGATTCTCAGGTGAATTCTGTCTCAGTGACTTCATCCCTTTTCCTGATTGACCTTATTCTGGGCTACCTCAGGTCAAGTGACATTGTTTAACTACTTTGAGCTTAAAAGACAGGCATTCCCAATCCTTTCCTCCTTAAAATGCCATTATAACATTATGTAAATTAATTTATCTACCTCTTATAACTTCCAAACTATATACAAGTGAGTGTGTCAGGATTAGGGAAAAGAGACAATTCACTTAAATGAACTTTTATATACTAAAGAGCTTATTTCTGTACATCTCTACAGAACTCTAAATTATTTTAAAAATAACTTGTGTAGAAGTTGTGTGTGTGTGTGTGTGTGTGTGTGTGCACATGCACATTGACTGAAAAAGAGCAAGGAGTTCAGCTCACGGTTCTTTGTTCTGGCTGCACCAGTAACTGCTGTTGACTTTGGATAACTCATGTAAAAATCTCTGTGCCTCACTTCCCTTATGCAAAAAAAATAGGGGAGTGGAGTTTCATACTTGCTTGGTTACTTCCAGGTCTCAATAATTCTATAATTCTTTTCTATGACCTAAATTTAATTTATAGCATAATCACACCCTGTGGGTTGTTCCAGAAGCTTCGTTCCTGACTACTAGGTTCATTTTTGGTCATCAGCTTGATTTAGCCAACTCCTGATTACCCATTCTCAGAGGTTCGTGGATTGTCCATGGGTGATCCAGATCTTTATAAGAAACAGGTTGGATTGGGGACTGCCCAGGGGCCCACCATAGGCCAGATCCATCCAAATACAGGGCCAGAACTAAATCCGCCTCCATAGGCTGGTGGAGCCCAAGCAAGATACCCCCAGCTCTGCTTCAGAATGTCCATGTCAAAACTGCCTAAAAGTTTGTTCACAACTACAAATTTCTATGGCAACCTAATAAAAAGGAATTGAAAGAAGAGGTAGGGCTTCACGAAATTCCTCTAGGCTCTGCACAGGAGCTGCCTTTGGAGACTGTCATAAGACTGAATACAAGGGTATAGCCCTTTCATGAAATTACCCTGCACTGTTTGTGTTTTCCTGATGTATGGTGCTCATGTCAAATCAGAAATGAATCCAAGCCTTCACCCTCAGATGCAACGTGAATGTTTTGTAGGTTCCAAACAACTTTGGTTTGTTTTTAAATTTTAATAAGTTCAGTACTTCCTGGGTTTGGCCAGGCCAGACACACCACAGGACGTTTCCAGCCTGAAACCAGAAAGCGTGCAGGCACTCACAGAAGAGACTGATGCAGTGAGCTTTCCATCCCACTTGCCAGACCTAAAAGCATCTTGTGTGGTTAGCTGACTCGTGGTCATACCTACCCAGAGTGCATAACACATGAAGGGAGATTTTGTGTATTGGCTGTCTCCAGTGCCCTATTCCTGCGCTAGCCCTCGTATATGAGCTACTCCTCATAATATTTCTAGGAAGAAAGGTAGACTGGCTTTTTCATTAAGTAGATGAATGTGAATGTTTCTTGACAGCAAGGACAATGTTTCCATGTTCAATTTACTATGAAAAGAACGCCAGTCGTAATTGCTGTTGATGAAGAGGAAATTGAGGCACTGACATCTTGAATAATGCAGTTTAGTGTTGTGAGTCACCCATCCATGGTATTCAGTTCAACAGCTATTTAATTGAATGCTACTGCCTAAGTACCAGGATAATTATAGACACTGTGGAGGATTAGAAACTAGTAAAATTTTAGGGCTTCGAGAACCAAGTGACCACTCAGTTCATCCAGGAAACCACTACATAGTATCTGGCCTCAGAAAAGTTGCACTCCAGTTTAGGAGACAATATGAACTCCCATGAATTCCATGGTAAAATAAAAGGTGTAGGGCAGGTGCCTCCTTTAGCCACTGTTCTACTCATCTACTACCTTTCACAGCTACACTTGTTTCCGGAGAACTTTGCACTGACAATCTCTACTTTCTTCCTTCCCAACTTCCAGGAAGAACACCAAAATCTTCTAACTGTTCAATCCAAATAGGCACTTTGCAGTCTACATCTGACTGGTCTTTCCTGATGCATTCCACACTCTTGACAACTCCTTCCTTCTGGAAACTCTTCATATGTCGAGGATAGAGTATATTGTCTCTCCTTTCTCCTCCACCAACCCTAAAATCTCCTAAACAGATCTTCCTCCTGTATTTCCTATTTTAGTAAAGAACATTACCATCTATCCAATTAGTCAAGCCAGAAATGGCGGCTGATAGAAGATTTGAGGGTGGGGATCAATCACTAGTTCTTCCTTTTATTCACCTTTATGCCTAATCAGTCACAAAATCTTGCAGAATTTCTTTTATAACATCATATGCATCCCTTCTTCTGATTCTCAATACTATTATCCTGGCTCAAGGCCTTATCATATGTCACCTATACTATTGGAGAATCTATTGTTAAGCAGGTTCCTGGCTTTGAATGCACTTTCTGTCAATCTATCCTGCAGAAAAATTGTAACCAAGCTTCTTCCCCATTTAAAACACTTCATTGGCTCTACTCTCCTGTAGGAAAAACAAAGTTCTTAGCATGACACACAAGGCCTTTCACACCCTGGATGTTTATGTCTTCACTTTCACCTGCACACTAGTCATTCTCAACAGCCTGTGGTTCTGGGAGAGCATGAGAGTTATTCCATACCTTCATGTTTTTGTTCATCCTGGCCCAAACTCACTTATCTTTCTATAACCATGAATCCCCTCTTTATATACTAATCCACTTTGTCCACACATTTATTACCAAGCTGTTCGAGTTTTACAAAGGCAAGGATTAAGAAACAAATAAACAAAAAACTAGCAAGGCATATTTGAATATGAAATATTTGAAAAAGAATAATAGTTTCATTTGGTTGAACTGAGGGCTTTGGTAGTCCTCAGGTATGGAAGATGAAATGAGTAGTCATTTACAAATTTCGACTGGGGAAGGTACTTGATCAGATTTACATTTTTGAACCTTATTCCATTTGTATGTAAAAAGTACTTTAAAAGTCCATAATTATTAGGGCCTGTATGAGGGCAGGCAATGTACTAATAAAAGGAAAAGGAATTCTTCAAGAGATATTTATACAGTGGGATTAACAAGCCCGAGAGATTGATTAAATGAAGTGGAAAATTTATCCATTGATTCAATTACTGAGTATTAGGCATTGTTGTACTTTCTAGATATGCCAAAAAATTATAAGAGAATTTGCCTGCTTTTATAGAAACTCATTATAATGCAATACAATTTTCAGAAGTAGAATCAAATATAGAAAGAAATTTAGTACATGATAAAGATTGGATTCTTTAATATGTAGTTTTAGAACAACTGGATAATTGTTTGGGAAAAACATATAAAATTTTATTTTCCCATATACCACTCAACAAATTGAGGTCCAAAGAAATTAAATGGAAGATGTGAAATAACAAAAACAATAGAAGAGTCCTAAGTGAACAGGTATATACACTTACAGCATTCACAATCTTTCTAAACAGAACGCTAAAACAAAAACCACATAAAGAGCAATGAAGTTGAAGAAAATACTGTTTGTCACAAAAATGTAGCAATAGAGAAATAGTTACAACATAAAAGACAGAAAAAGAATTAATATGATACAGAAACTTTTGCTACAATATTACATACATGCTTTTGATTTGGCTTGTTCCAAAGGCTGTCAGGACAAAAACCTGCATCTAATGCCTGAGGATCTATCTGATTAAAAATGTGGGTAAAGGAGAACCATGAGTGTTTACTTGCTTTGTGAGGGTGTTAACTGAGTAGCTAAATAATGGTGACAGCTTTGTACAAAAAGAACTCCAGGAGTTCAAGTACCGGAGGCAGAGACTGGAGTTCCCTATTATATACTTTCTTTTTCAGGGGAAAAAAAGTTACCTGCGCCTAATCAAACATTTCTACTCTGAAGTTTCCCATTGCTATACGTTTGTTTTCAGGAACCAAATAATTTTTATCTATCAACTAAACAATTAATGAGAACCTATTATGTTCTAACTGTCCTTTACATAGTCAATACGGTTATATTCCTCAAAGATGAGTAAGATAATGACCTTGCCCTCAAAAACCTCATGGACAGAGACTTAAAGAAGAAATAATACTTACAATGCAAGTTGTATGTTACTGGCATGAATGTCTGAATTATTCTATGGTCCCAACCTGGCTGTGTTAATTACTTTGTGGAGGACACTGGAGCGAGAAAATGTACTGGCTATAGCACAAGCTCTCCTTTTTGGTGAAATGAGCCTCAGTTTGTGAGGCTGTCGGCATGACACCTTCTAAAATGTCACATTCCCTTTCCATGATGTTTAAGAGGCAAAGGGAGGTGGATTTAAGGGAGGAAGAAAGTGAAGCTTATTAGTTTGAATGAGGTCATTGGAGTCACTCTGTGGGATCCTTACAGAAGTAGAACAGAGCTCATTGCAGACACACGCTAGTTAAAATGACTTCAAAGGAGTCAGGCAACATTTTGGTGAATAAATATATGGAATATTATTGTGTTTTCCTCAAATGTGTTTTTATGTGATAAACCTAGAGACTTTTGAATTTTGACTTGAGCACATTAAACATATCCTATGGCCCAAGGGCTGTAGGCATCTCCACATGCATGTCCCACTGACACTCAAAACTTCATCTACTTAAGCTGGAGCCCATGAAGCTCATCCAAGCCCTGCTGCCTTCTCTTCCTGGTTTGCATTTGCTATGTTTACCACCTCCCAAACACTCCCCACTCATATCTCTCTCATTTTCATAAGAGTTCTGAGCCTCCTTTCTTGGATAGTTCTTCCTCACTCCTCTTCAAAGGTTTCTTGGGAGAGGAAATACAGTATGCATTCCTAATTGCTGTTTAGAGATTTCTGCCCAGCATTTAGCCACAAAGCCAATTAAGGAAGGAGTAGGAGTCTTGACCCCTTTCCTAGATTGATAGATTTTCAGTAGGCTCTGGATGGCTGTTTTTTGTTTAGCTTTGTTTTGCTTTACTTTACCCAAACTCTGATAGCTAGTCTTGGGAAGAGGGAAGTCTCGAGGAAGAATTTGAATAAAGAAAAAGAGGAAACTTTCAAAATAGTGTTTGTAGAACATAATCCTGCAGATTATATAGTGAACTGGGAACAGGGAGGGTGAGAGCTAGGAGGGCTATGACGTAGAAACAACACAAGGAAGCTGCTGCTTAAAGCTGGTAGCACAAAGTCTGTCTAGTCCCATTACCTCCCCACCCGCTTCATAATCTGAGGCAAGCTAAGGACACAGATTCTGGGATGTTTGTGATTCTTTCTGACCCTCAGTCATTACTAAATAGCATTTTCCAGCTAGAGTTTTTCCACCTGCATTGTGGTTTATGTGATTAACTGATGTTCTTGCAACTCCAACTGCCTAACATATTTTTACTATTTTTATACACTCATTATTTTTCTGCAAAAAAAGAGGAAAGATGTATTCCAAAAGCAGAGATTTGTTCTTCCTTTCCTTCTGTCTTCCTTTAAGATTTGGCGAACTCTTAGAAGAAATGCTTGGCAAGATATTTTCTGAGATGTCAGTACTTCTGTAGGTAAACAAAGGGAAATTATCTTTCTATAGCAAAGTCATCCTACACCCACTCTACCGGGAATCATGCTGTTTCCAAAGTTCACATGTGTTTCTGACCTGCAAGAAATGGGGAAGGGAGGTGGAGAGGAGGAATTGGGGAAGGGGGGTGGGGAGAAGAACAAAGAAAAAGAGAAGGGAAAGGAGAAGAAGAGGAGGAGGAGGAGGAGAAAAGAGAGCAGTTGTGTATCAAATGGGACTAGTTTGTCTAACCTAGGATCTTTCTTCACATTTTGAGCCCTGGGTTGCAAAGGTGGTTAATTTCCTATCTTGCTCTAGGCTACAATGTCACTTCACATTATACCTAATACTTTGTATTTTGAATTTTTAAAAAGTGATGCTAAATATTTGACATCAAGCTTTGCAAAATAATAACAGACACAGCTAGAACATTCTTTTCTCACAACAGTTCATTTGTATGATTCCCAGCACAATTTAAAGTGGCTTAGTTTCAAAAGGGTGAATGTTCAAATGAGCATGTCCAATTCAAAATATTCTTAAAAATATACAGATCTGATTGTAAGTAAAAGACCTCCTCAAGGTGGTATATTTTGCTTGAACACAGAAACAAAATTGAGCACAGCCTTACTATGTTGGCGTTGTTTTTCTGAGGTTATTGAAGAAAAGAGAGCTTTGCCAAAACAAAACAAAACAAAACAAAACAAAACACAGAACCATTTCTTTGAACCTGAGAACTCTCCAATGCCCAAATATGATTAAAAACCATCTTGGTTAAGCCCTTTTGATCAGCGTGCGTGTCGTAAAACCTGTTCTGAGTCCCTGGCAATTTTATGGTCTTATCTGTGTGGTCCTTTTTTTTTTTAGAAAACATTCAGCATGATGTTGTCCCACTAGAGCTCAACCAAGTGCTTATGGAGGGTGTAATATAGAGTTTAATGCCCCTCAAGAATAATGCCACCAAGCACCCCCACCCCTCAGCAAACCCAAGCATGATATCTTCTCATCTCTCTACAAAGAGACTTTCTGAAAAGAAAACAAAAAGGTCAAGAACTGGAAAGAAACTAAATGCATAACTTCAGGACAGCATAAAGAAATATGCAGACAAATGCTTGACATTTGTGGAGGTTTTATTTATTGAAGACTCTAATTGAATTTCATTGACTGAAGTCTAGAACACACAGCAGATCTGTTACTTTCTCATTCTATTTATGTGTCTATGAAGTAGATCATTGTAATGAATATAGATGGGCAATAAGTACAAAGTTATTGCATCATTTTTCAAAATTTTATGATTGCTTTTCCTACTTCCTCAAAGAATAATGGCCTCTCTGTGTAGCCTGTAGACCATTTACTATATCTTCAGTATATTTTACCACTTCAGCAAATTTTAATTTATTAGAGACATACTAGAAGTGGTGTGTAAACAATCCACAGAATAAAACTGATTTGTAAGACATGGATGACCTGAATCAGTATTAAGTTACTTCTGAGATGACTTGGGGAATGCAAGTGCATATGTATTTCCCCTCTTTTTCCCCTTCCTGCCTGCTTCTTGATTTGGCAAAGATTGAGACTTGAGAACTGGAGGGAAAACCAAATTAAAGCTGCCCACCAGCCCATAGCAAACAGAACAGAAAATGTCAGTCTTACGATGGGAAGTGTAACAAGATGGAAAGTTTCTCTATGCGTTTGCCTTTCTAAACCAGGCTTCGGCCTCGGCAAGCATTGAAAGGTGCCAGGTCTGAGTAAATAAACAGAGCTTTACAAGATGAAGTATGCTAATGGCCGCTCCAGCATCTGTGGGATTGCCCTGGATGGAAAACGACTGACCCTTTACTTTGTTCAGCTCCTATTCCTTGTACCTCATTACTCTTCTCTCTTAGCTTCAACCTCTCTCTAGATTTTATCGCAAAGGGAAAAGTCTGGTGTGACCATTCCACGGCCTGCTCAACTGAGGCTATGTTACAGCCACTCTTTGTCGTGTTGTGTCCAGGAATGTTGCCTTTGCCTCTCAGGCTCTTTCCTCCAATTTAGGTTTCCAACTGACTTTCAACTCACAGTTACAGTGATTTCAATTCACTGACCTGAGTGTAATGGAGGAGGGGTTCATGTACTGTGGAAGCCCCTTGGAGGAAGTGACCAACTCTGACCGACTCTGCCTGAGAGCAAGGGAAAAGACTTCATGAGGAATAACATGAAGAACTGGTTGAGGCTGCAGAAACCAGAAGCTGAGATACTGTAGTTGATGAACCAGCATTTGCTCATTATGAATCCTCACACAGACAGAGCTTACAAGGGTGTGTTTTGATGGACATACCTGTTTTCTACAAAAGTGCAGTCTTGCAATTTCAAATATGAATATACACTTAAAAGGGGAATAAAATATGGGAAGCTGGAATTAATTACAGGAGAAATATGATGTGCATATTTTTTTGGCTTCAAGAGAATAATTTAAATCCACGTTGGAAAGAACTTAAAATTATAATGTAACAAACCTTTATAATACAGATTTTAAACTACTAAGGATGCATTTTAAGACTAGGTATACTCATAGTAGGTTGGGCATGTGCGCTAAAGCAGTGGTCCTCAAAGCATTTTCCCCATGTACTCCCTAAAAAATTCCAGGAAATTTGAAAAACCATGTGCCCTCTGGCACATTTTCAAGTTGACATCTAAAAAATTTCAGCATAAGTTTAAATAGTTTCAAAGAATGTTGTTTATGATAGTTTATAACATTGATGTTTTAGACCTCTTTTAAATAAAGCAAATAGAATTGAAATGTCACAGTAGGTTGATAAACACTATCGTCCGTTAATTATTTTCTTTTTTAATGTATAAGCTGCTTCTCAATAGTGGAGATGTTTTTTCTTGAAATTATATTTCTATTCTTTCCCACAATAATTGTTTTCCAATGTAATATATTTCTAGGATTGAAATTACTTTATTTCGCACCCTAAAAATATTCCTCTGCAACCAAAAAAATATAAATCTATTTTAAAGATTTTTATCTGATTAAAATACAAAATATTTTCAAAACATTTCAAAATAAATTCAAAATAGTTTCTTTTGGATGGAGTTATAACAATTATTATTCCTATACAATTCATCAAACTAAAAATATTGTACAAATTTTGGAAAAATATTATTAAATACTAAAGTCAAATTTGTTGGGAAATGCATTTTTATTTGAGATAGGAAGGGCTTTCTGTTTTTCCAGTAAGTCCTGTGTCTAGTCATTATGTATGCTGACATGAGCACTGTTCAGTATCACTTCTATTCCTATTTATGTTTATTATTGTACCCATAAATGCTGATAAATATTGTTCTGATAAAAAAAAGCAAATGAATGATTTTTATTATAGCGACATCACTCATTTTGTACCTCTGAGTTGATGCTAGAGTGCTGAGAAGTACTTATTTTGAGAAGGTAGTTGATCAAAAGTAGCCAGTGAAAGAAGTCAAGAAGGTTTATGGGAGGAAGACGTCATCTCCAATTTCTGTGCCTCCACAAGGTCTTATGTGGGCTCTGTGGCTGGATCTAGAAACCACATTGACATAAGGCAGATTAACAAAAGAAAAGCATACAAATTTTATCATTTTTATATGAACATGAGCATTTTCACAAAACAGTGAAATCCAAAGTGACCAAGCAAGATGTTTTCTTTTTTTTTTTAAAGTTTTATTCTTTCTTTCTTTTTTTTTATTATTATTATTATACTTCAAGTTTTAGGGTACATGTGCACAATGTGCAGGTTAGTTACACATGTATACATGTGCCATGCTTGTGCGCTGCACCCACTAACTCGTCATCTAGCATTAGGTATATCTCCCAATGCTATCCCTCCCCCCTCCCCCCACCCCACAACAGTCCCCAGAGTGTGATGTTCCCCTTCCTGTGTCCATGTGTTCTCATTGTCCAATTCCCACCTATGAGTGAGAATATGCACTATAAATCATGCTGCTATAAAGATATTTTCATAATTGTTTGACAAAGGATGAAGAATTTGAGAAGGAACGACAGAAGAAGAGGGATCTGCCTAGGGGCAGTAAATTTCTACGGGAGTCACTAGGAGATACACGGGGGAGTGTAAAACTAGTGGAAGATATGGGTTCCTTCAGACAGTTTATCTACTCAGATCCATTGCTGCCTCCAATTCCCAGTCTCTGGTGAGAAGGGATTTCTCACCTTGGTTCAGAGATGTTAGTACTTCCAGAAAATCTTTATGGCTTGCTGCATGCAAGAGACAGATAACTAGTTGTTTTTGAAATTAATTTCTCCAGTGTTTTCAACTAAAAATAATGAATATACCAATTCAGCATATTTGGGGATGGCACATCCTTCACTCCTTCATACTCCTGGAACTAGAAACCAGGAACATACAGTGCCATGGAAGTCAAAGGAAAAGAGAAGGTTTCAAACAGAGAGGTACTTACTGGTGTCAAAATAATTCAGAGAAGTTAAGCTTGAGTAGAACAGGAAAGAGGTTCTTATTTCTCTGAGGTCCTCCAAAGAAATCAAGAAGCTAGATTTCTTCTGTTTGTCAAACCATGAATTTTGACATTTTATTCATGTTATAGAGAATCTGAGATTGGAGAACCTGGAGTGCTATTTTTTTTCTTATCCAAAATCATTTTTTATGTGTGTCTTTTTCTGGGAATTTTATTCTGATCCAACTGTCTGTCTGTACTTGGGCTGATAGCATGTTTTCATACTGTTGTTTATACCGAGTGTGGATTTTAGGGTAAATCCTGTCCTTTGGTTCTTAATTGAAAATGTCAAAATTACATCTTTACAATCCTGAGTTTTCCCATTCATGGAAATATTACATGTGTCTATTTCTTCATTTCTTCCGTTTTTTTTGAGGCAGGGTCTTGCTCTGTCGCTCAGGCTGGAGTAAAGAGGTGTGATCTCAGCTCACTGCAACCTCCGTCTCCTGGGCTCAAGCAATTCTCCCACCTTAGCTTCCCAAGTAGCTGGAACTATAGGTGCACACCACCACACCCAGATAATTTTTGTATTTTTATAGAGATGATTTTTTCTCATATTGCTCAGGCTGGTCTCAAACTCCTGGGCTCAAGTGATACGCCCACCTCAGCCTCACCCAAAGTGCTGGGATTACAAGCATGAACCACCACACCTGGCCTCTTTTTACTTTCTTTAGTAATGTTGTTACATTTTTTTCCTATAAAGGTCTTGTATGTTTCTCATTATTTATGTTTAGGTATCTTAAGTTTTTGTTGCAATTGTGAATGAAATGTATTTTCCCATTGAATTTTTCCATTTTGGTTGTTTACCTTTTAATGAGTAGTAGTGTGGAATTCTTTTATTAGTTCTTAAAAATTCATTTGTGGATTGTCTTGTATATACTACACAGAAAATCATTGTAGCTACAAATAAATATATCTTGACTTTTCATTTCTAATTTTTATTCATTTTATGGCTTTTTAAAAATCTTCCTGCATGGTTAAGATCTGCAGTAGAATGTTGAATATAAGTGATGACATAGAACATCCTATTTTGTTTCTCATTTTATGTGAATGCTCCAAAATTTCAACATTAAATATAGTTTTCATTGCAGATCTTTAATAGACAGATGAGAGTTTTATCAGATGAGAATTTATTTCTATACTAAGTGGGTTAAGTGCTTCTATTACACATGTTTATTGAAATATCATGTTTGACTTATTGAAGGTATAATTTTTTTTCCCTTTCCTAATTTGAAATTGTGGTTTATTTCATTAATAGATTTGTTGATGTTTGACCATCCTGGATTTCTGCGAATAACACTATTAGGATATGATGTGATGTTTTTATATTCTCTGATGAATTCTACTTACTAATATTTTATTTGAAATTTTTGCAGATATATTGTAAATGAAATAGATCTATAATTTTATTTTCTTCTACTTTCCTTTTCTAATTTTCATATCAAAATCATATTAATAATATAAAATGCTATATATACCTGTGCTATTATAAAATATATACTGTATTTGGCCTTCATCCCTGTTTCCTGGAGTACAGCTCCTAAAACACTTGGAATCTCTTAAGTGATAAGTAGGTGTCTTTTTGTATGCTAACAAGATGACTGATGGTTGGGGACTCCTGGACAGCATCAGGGTAGAGTCTGGTTGCCAGAGGAACCAGATACCATTGGCCATTGGTGATCAACTCAACCATCAGCCTCTCTTCACTGCCCGATTAACTCTAGGGAGGGAAGAGAGGATGAAGGTTGAGTTGATCACCAATGGCCAATGGTTTAATCAATCATGCATATGTAATAAAGCTTCCATAAAAATCCAAAATGATTGAGTTTGTAGAATTTCTGGGTGGCTAAACACATGAAGTTTCCTGGAGGGTGGTGTGCCTGAAGAGGGCATGGAAGCTCCACGTCCCTTCTCCCATACATTGCCAAATGCATCTCTTCATCTGGCTGTTTATCTGTATCCTTTGAAATATTCTTTGTAATAAGTGGGTAAATATAAGTAAAATGTTTCCCTGAGTTTTATGAGCCACTCTAGCAAATTAGTCAAACTAAGGAAGGAATCATGAAAGCCTCAAGTCATAGCTGGTCAGTCAGAAGTACAGGTCACAACCTAAGACTTGCAATTGGCATCTGAAGTGGGGGACAGTCTTGTGGGACCAAGCCCTGAACTTGTGGGATCTGACACTATCTCCAGATAGAGTGAGGATTGAATTGACACCAGAGAATCTAGTGTCAGAAATGTGTTGAGTGGTGTGTAAGACTAGGGAAGTTATTTTGGTTTTCTTCTATCCCTTAACTGTCACTTTCCTTTTTTTCTGAATTTGAAAGTATACAGGATAGAAATTATTAATTTTATGATAGCTTGGTAATATTCACCTGTAAATTGATCTGAACCTATTATATTTGAAGGGGGGAGACTTTTGATTATTGTTTTGATTTACTTAATGACTAATTTAATAATATTCACATAAACTGCAACTGCAAATTTATTGACAGAGTTGTTAATAATAATTTGTTATTTTTAAAATCTCAAATTATTTTTAGATAACATTCTTTTGTGGTCCTAGTATCATTTATTTATGACTTTCTTTTCTTTTTTATCTGTAGTACTGTTTAGTTTTATTTATCAATGTTTTCACATAACCATTTGTTGATTTTTATTGATCTTACCTACTGTATCTTGTTTTCTAATTCATCTAATATCTGCCTTTATTTCTTTCCATCTAGTTTTCATAGTTAAGTTGTGCTTCTTTTTTTACAATTTCTTAATTTAAGCCCTTATTTATTTCCAGCTTCCTTCCTTTCCCTTCCCCTCTTCCTTCCTTCCTTCCTTTCTTTTTCTTTCTCTTTCTTTCTCCTTCTTTCCTTTCTCCCTTCCTCCCTTCCTTCCTCCCTCCCTCCCTCCCCTCCCTCCTTTCTTTCTTTCCTTCTTTCTTTCTTTCTTTCCTTTCTTTCTTTTTTCTTTCTTTCTTTCTTTCTTTCTTTTTCCTTCCTTCCTTCCTTCCTTTTTCTTTCTCTCTTTCTTTCTTCTTTTTCTTTCTTTCACCTTCTTTCCTTCCTCCTTCATCCCTTCCTTCCTTCCTCCCTCCCCTCCCTCCCTCCCTTCTTTCTTTCTTTCTCTTTCTTTCTTTCTTTCTTTCTTTCTTTCTTTCTTTCTTTCTCTCTCTCTCTCTCTCTCTCTCTCTCTCTCTCTCTCTCTCTCTCTCTCCCTCCCTCCCTTCCTTCCTTCCTTCCTTCCTTCTTTTTCTTTCTGCCAACACTCTCAGTCATTCTTCTTTTGTCAGTCTTCTCTCTCTGGTAGCATTTACAATTTTATCTTTGTAGCTCATATTCTGTAGTTTCACAAAAATGTGTGTTGGCGTGAGTTTATTTTAAATGTTTCCTCTCAGCACCAGGAACACTCTTTCAATTTGAAGATTACGTTTCTTCAGCGTAGGATAATTCTCAGTCAATATCTCTTTACCGCTTCCCTTTATCATCTCATTGGTTTTATTAGTGTTAGATTTCAGATTTTTAATTTGCAAAATCATTTTCAATGAGAATTTTTTTTGGTCTGTCTTTTCTTCCTTTCTTTCTTTTTCTTGTTAAAATTCTCTTTCTTTCCTCTCATCTTAGCAGCTTTCCCATATTCTGTGTATGTGTGGCAAACCTTTTGGGCTCCCTGTCTAGAACCAGGTTTTATAACGATGTTTAGGGGTTCCTGTTCAGCAGTGACATTGAACTATTCCAAATACATTCATGGAGCTCGTTGGCTTAGTTCCTGGTCATGAGCCTATGTCTTAGTATTTCTGTATTCTAGACCTACAACAGCTTTTAAAGCCACAGCTTCAAGCAATAAGTTGACAACTGTTTTCAAATTCTACCTTTACATATAGGGGGCCTTTCTCTGGCTACTGACTCCAAGAAGTAAGGCTAGATCTAGTGCCCTACCATGCATGGAAAACTTTTAGTATTGGTTTCCTTTGAGGAAACAAGACTCAGTTACTATGCCTATTATTGGGCATGAAGATCTCCAGAACTGTTGCTTCCACAATACTTACTGCTTATATTTCAGTTCTATTTCTTATCTACTAAACTGTTTACTTTGCTTTTGAGCAGCCTGTCTGGTTACATCTTTTAAAACATTTTATTTATTACTGCATACTATTTGTTCATTAAAAAGAATCTTGATGTTTAATGGCTTTGTTTTATAGGCCAAGGCAATATGCCCTTTACAAAAACTTTGATATCCAAGAGAAAACTTCAAACACCCTTAATAATCCTAATATGAAAAAATACTTAAAAATCCATATGTTCATTTTACATAAATGTTTAAAATCTCGCTTTATTTTTAAAATGATAAATTGACCTTAAGTCTTCTAATCAGTCTAGTTCTTTGCTCTTCAGATGCATATAGCAGTAATAAATAAAATGTCATCTCCTCATCTCTGGGGCTGCCCAGTAGCCTTGTTCTGCTCCATCCTGAGTCTCACCTATTATGGAAGATGTGGTGCAGCTCAGGGTAGAGTTATGTGTGACCTATAGATCAGTTACCCAAAGCAAGTGTCTTTACTGACCCCTTTACTAAATAAAATTGAAAAATATACAAATATAGTCAAAACCCACTTGGTGAACCGAGAATGTCTAACACTCAATTCTAAGAAGTCAAAACAGCGTAAACACATTAATATAGTCAATGTTTTAGGGCAATGTGAAAACCTAATAAAGGATTTCTGGGAAATCATTCATTCAACATGCGTTAATCAAGTCACAACTATGTTACAAGAAATGATGCCTATCTTCAAGGATCCCATAGGCATTGAGGAGAAGAACTTAAGTGTTGAATCACTGGCTGAGAAATTCAAGCAAAGACCTATGAGCAGAGATACTTTTATTTTGTTTGTTCTTCAGAAGCAAAATTATCTTTAAAATTTCTTAAAATAGAAAATTTTCCCTTGTTGCCTTGTTTCCAGGAAATTAGGAGGCAAATTTTATGTCCAATTGTATTATTATCTAAGGTTTGCAAATAATTATCTCAGTCTTTCATCTATTGAATTTTGAATCCCTTTGCAAATGTTATCACTATCATAAAGTTCCCTCGAATTTTTTTAAATTAAGGTATTAGCAAGTAGACGATTGAATGAATTCATTAATAGTATTTGAGCTGTGAGGAGGAAAATTACAGAATCAGTTCAGAACTGAGTTGAACAGAAGTTCCAAAACAGCCCTGACTCATAAGTAGAAAATTGCCAAATGTATTCTGTTTTCATTTGTATGCTGTGTAATGTACATGAATAACTCCCTTACCACCTTCCTCGGAACTCTTCAAATGGAATTTTATGTCTGGTTACGAGTAACACAATTTAAGAAAGATGTGGATATACTGGAAAGGTTACAATGGAAACCATTTAAAACAATTAGAAGTCCAGAAACCATGGTTTGTAAGGGAAATGGATGGAAACATTAGACTAATTAAGCAAAAGGGGAAATTGAGCCAGGTTAAGAAGAAGACGAAATGAGCGAAATACTTTTTAACTATAGTAAGAGAAGATTGGACTTTTTGAAAGAACCATTATTTCACTTAAATGTTGAGAGGATTTTGACAAGGAGGTTAAGAACATTTTTCTAAACGTAGAACTCGCATAAGCCACTGTTTCCCTCAGTCCTGCTTTGCTCATCAGTCTTCCTGACAAAGAAAGTTCAGTCATTTTTCTTTAGTAACAGCAATAATAGGGTCAATGAGAAAGAACCTCCCACATCCTCTTGGAGGAACTATGTCTTTGAACCTGGAATTGCTCCAACCATCTTTGTGGATCATTTAAAGGCTAAAAATATTATATTCTTCCAAGAAGTTCCCAGAAGATGCCCACTGAAATTCAGTGAGGTATACATGGGAGAGTGCTCCTCATTGGACGGAAAAACTGGATCCCAGACCCAGCTCTTTCAGTAGCTTGTGGTTAGTCAAATAACCTGTAAGCTTTGTTTCTTTGTCTCTGAAATGAGTTGGGGGTGGAGGGAAATCTCTGAGGGCTTTCAGAGTTTTGATTAGCTATGGTTCTATGGAATTCTGAGATTTAAGATTACTGGGGTCAAGCAAGAGCAAAGAATAAGGAATAGGATTTTTTTTTTCCAGGCACTTTCATCAGCAACTTGTTGCATTAGCATGCCAGCAGAAACAAACAGCTTTGTATGGCTCACAGTGTCCTCACTGCCCTCATTACTGAGCTTTGTCTTGGCCAGACAGGATGTTGGCATCATTGGTAAACTTTGACCTATGCTTTTTCCAAGGAGAAAGGGAGAGAGATTATCAATCTTCTTGTTTGTCTCTGACCCCAGACCCACCCTGCTTCTCTGCACCATCACCTCAGTCTGTTTCAACACAGATTTTTATATATATTCCAGTAAATAATGTCTTTTAAACATTCAGATAGCTACTTTGATCGCATTCAAACTTTCAAAGTTAACTAAATACAATCCCTCAAAGCCCAAATACTTTGAATTCTTTTTTTCCTTTTTAGCATTGGCACACTGTGGTGCTTCCCAGTGCGGAAACTCCTTCCACATCCTTATCCTTGTTCACACTTTCCCCATCAATCTGATGACATGAAACCGCTTGACTCATAAACAGGAGTTAGAGAAACAGAGGTTAAACCACGGGCACCAAAAGTGGTTGTGAGTCTGTGAGTGTGGAAAAAGTGGGAAAATCCGCAAGCATGTGGCTTTTAACCATCTGCCTCAAGTGCTGAACTGTGGAACCACGTTCAGCGACAGCCTGCTATTTAAAATAATACAAACACTTTCCCCCCTTTTCCTGGGAAAAGAAGAGCATATTTTGCTAGAAAACACCTTCTTTTCTGAAATCTTCATTATGAGAATAGATCTGTCAACAGCTGTCACTTTTCTTCTCCCTTTAATTGACATTGGGGATCCCTGTAACTCTGTTTTAATACTGTTCTTCATTGCTGATCTTCTTTCACCTTTTGTGTATTGTCTAGTGACCTAGGAGAGTAATAACTATAGCAAATTCTTACGCAGTGCTTATTATTTGCCTAAAACTATTCTAAGCACTTCATGTATATTATCACATTTAATGTTTACAAAACTGCGTGGCATAGGTATTGTTATTGTGCCTCTTTAACACCCAAAGAAATAGAATATAAAGAGTTTAAAGAGCGTTTCTCAGGTCATAGAGCTAGTGGGCAACAGAGCTGGGATTTGAATTTGGGCAGTCTGGCTCCAAAATTTGTACTCTTAACCATCATGTTCTGAGAAAGAAAAAAGATGGAAACCAAGTAAAAAGATGGTGCCACAGTGATGACACCAAGACATGGCAAGCTTTTGAATAGACCTCTAGGTCAACTCTTTTTTAAAAAACAATTTTTTTGTAAAGATGGAGTCTCGTTCTGTTGCTCAGGCTGTTCTGAAACTCAGGGACTCAAACAATCCTCCGGCCTTGGCTTCTTAAGGTGCTGAGATTACAGATGTGAGTCTCTGCATCCAGCCCCAGGTCAACTCTTCCTAGGAAAGTACACCAGAGACAACTTGGTTCAGAATAAAACATTACCCATTTCCTTATTTCAATTTTCTTTGTGTCCCTGTAGCACCTACAGAATAGCTAGCAAGTTCACCTAGCAAGTTCTCAATAACAAAGTGTTAAATAAAAGAGCCCATTGCAAGCCTACAGTTTATTAACTTAAGACCCTTAAATTGACCTTAAATGCTTTGGTGAGTGAAGTGGTAGAAAAGACTGATACTGCAGGTATCAAAACCAGTTTTGTGGCAATTATCATATACACAAGGGGAATGAAATGTTATAGTTCAAATGCGGTAACTTGAAAGTTTTATTAATAAAACTGAGCCTGCCAGATACCACCACGTAACTGGAAGTTTTCAAGTGCTCTCCTGGGGGCGTCTCAGCATGGTCAGTGTAAACATTCACTTACATTGAGATTATTGTAAACCACCCTGTGCTGTGAAACTCATCATAATGCAAACTAATTACCATGAGACAGGCACAGTAAGTTTAGTACATCTCATCTCTCCCGTTCTCCTCCTTACGTCCATGCTCCCTTTTTGAAGTATGTAAGAAGGTCTCTATTTTACTTTTTCATCAGTTCTTAGTTCATTACAATGAAACAAACATTACGATGAGCATTTACTATATACTATATACTGGGGATTTCTTGTAATCAAGAAGCTTACTCGGTCCAACAGGTTGGCATATTTTTCATTCTTTTAATGGTCACACTTATTCATTCCTAAATTTGACACTGACTTATAATGATAAATAAATTGACTACCATAGATACTAAAAGAATCATCTGAAATTCAGATTATCCCAATTTCTCCCAATTTCATCCTTTATTTTGACTGGTGGTGTCTAAGTGCATGCAAGACAAGCTCTTTCTCTGTGAATTTCAAAGGGAGTGCACTAGGAAAAAACTTCATGTTTTTTTCTTCTGTAAATCGTCAATTTGGAGGGTTTTTTTGGTACAAATGGAGTCAGAGTGCTTTATTCCCTTGTATCTCTCACATTATGTGGGTTTGTTAACTGCATGAGTCATATGGCTACAACTTTTGAAAATTTCAGACTTAACAATAAACAGTAAGAGAACAGATCTCCTTTATCTCTGGAGCTGGGTATTCCGTCATTTATAGACAGTTGCCCAGAGCTATGAAATGCTGAGTGTGTGAGTGACCAACTAGGGGAGGTGTTTGGAGCAGACATTCACTCCGTCTGTGTCTGTATAATACTTGCCTGAGACCTGTTTATCTTCCATCTCTAACCTCAGCAAATCTGTGTCCGTGACTAGGGAAATGTGGGAGAACTCAAGGGGGCATAAAAATAAAAAGATGATTTCGTTTTATAAGAACATGAAAGAAACTGACATGCTCTGTTGAAGTGCCCAGTAGTTCAGAATGTGACCTTATGTGGAAACAGGGTCTTTGAATGTGACCTTATGTGGAAAAGGGGAAATTGAATGTGGTAATCATTTCTACATTCATTTCCTGGGGCTGCCATTAAAAAGGTACTACATACCAGGTGGCTGAAACAACAGAAATGTATTGTCTCACAGTTCTGGAGGCTAAAAATCCAAACTCAAGATATCAGCAGGACTGGTTGTTTCTGAGGGCACTGAGGGAGAATCTGTTCCACACCTGTCTCCTGGCTTTTGGTAGCATCAGGCATTCGTTGGCTTGTAGATGGCATTCTCTCTGCATTTTCACATTATCTTCCCTCTATATATATCTGTCTCCATGTCCAAATTTCTCCTTTTTATAAAGACACCAGTCATATTGGATTAGGCCCACCCTAATGCTCTCATTTTAACTTGATTACCCATATAAAGACCCTGTTTCCACATAAGGTCACATTCTGAACTACTGGGCACTTCAACGTATCTTTGGGAAAGATAATTCAACCCACAGCAATCACCAAGAAAGTGAAGTGACATGCAGACTTAGAAGCAAACCTAATAAATCTGCATTCTTTAAATAAAAGCCTTGTGGCTCTTCCTCCTCACACAGCTTCAGTCCTTAGACTGACTTGTGCCCGACTTAAATAAGGACTGTGTGTGAACAGAATTTTCTACCTCCTGAGGCTCTGAATATATTTCAAGATAGAACCATGAATTTGTGTATTCATTCCAGGCCAGGTCTGGGGCAATAATTCTAAATCACAGTGCCAAATCTGTTATTAGTTAACTTGTTTTCCAAGCTACTTTTTTATGAGTCTTCATTTTTTGATCTGTCAAATGGGCATGAGTATGTATGTCTTAACTATCCCACTAGAATATATAAACTCTGCAAGTATAGGGATGTTAGTGTATTTTGCTCACTAAAATATTCCAAAGCAGCCAGAACAATGTTGGCACATAGTAGGCAATTAATATGTATTAAATTCATAAATGAATAAATAGGCTTGCTACATGCATTAAGTTTATATTATGCATGAAAAGATCTAAAAGTTAAAATGTTCTGGCCAGGCGCAGTGGCTCATGCCTGTAATCCCAGCACTTTGGGAAGCTGAGGCCGATGGATCATCTGAGGTCAGGAGTTTGAGACCAGCCTGGCCAACATGGTGAAACCCCATCTCTACTAAAAATACAAAAATTAGTAAGGTGTGGTGGCACGCACCTGTAATCCTAGCTACTCAGGAGGCTGAGGCAGAAGAATAGCTTGAACCTGGGTAGCGGAGGTTGCAGTGAGCTGAGATTGCGCCATTGCACTCCAGCCTGGGTGACAGAGCAAGACTCTGTCAAAAAAAAAAAAAAAAAAATTAAATGTTCTGTAATGGAGAGAGTTTGCAGTAGAGAGGAAGAGGTGTGCTGAGGAAGTTAGAAGATGAAGTGTCTGGCCTCAGCACTGCTGACTCACTGTATGGTCTATCCTTAACTGTAAAGTAAGGGAGATAATTTCTAAAGTCTCTTTCACTCTAAAATTCTGAACTTATATTTTTATGACAGGAAATGCAGTGATAATGTGTGTTTCTAAGTCCCATGTAATAGAGGCAAACCCTCTGGTACATACTATACCTACTTTTTGTTCTCAGGCTTTCTTAGGGTCTATGACTAATTTGAACTCCTTCCTTTGTACACAGACTGAACTTGAGCCACACCCTTGAAACCAGTTGAAATGGAACCCATTCTCAAGTGTTTGGGCTGGAACCATGGAAAGAGAGCAGATGCAATGGTCAGACTTTCTCTCATGTGTATTCTTCTCCAGACTTGGTACAAAATTGAAAAGGAAGTTTCATGTGCAGAAAACTACCAGGAATGAAAAGTAGTGGGTTTGGATGACTTTCCCAGAGTGGTGGGAATTTGGAATTCTTATAATGCAAATCAATACTAAGTCCGTTTAGAATCAGACAAACAAAGTGATGATTATTTTACGTTTTTGGGCCCAGAGCAAATCTGCTTCCAGCTAGTCTAGTACCTATTAACATTTATAAAGTTCTTTCTAGTAAAGGACAAGTCTTTGGGGAATAGCTCATGCCTAGCTATTTCGTGCCTTTTCACACTTGGCATAAAACAGATCTACAAATCCAGGTTTTGATGTGGAAATTCTTCCTTGTTATAAGAATTCTGATTCTTGAAATCCTCCCTTTCCCACCCCACTCTCATCTCCTAAAACTACCTGGTGGTGAAAGAAGTCAGTGGGGAATCATTTCTTAAGCATTATGATTGGCCTGCAAGAAAAATCTACTCTGCTGGTTTTATGACCCAGATGGAGGCTCAGACCCTCTCTACCAGGGATGGCAATTCTCATTGACTCCAGACATGCATGCGCTGTCTATCCAGGGCATGTTGTGGGTATCTTCAGTACCTCTCTTCTCCGGGTTTCTAATAACTTTAACTGTTCAATTTCCGCTCCCTTTGCTATCCTATAAAAAATGCAACCCCTTAAAGTGAGGAAGCTGCCTCAGCCAGGAATCACTCAGCTCACACGTACCAATATGTTGCCTACGGAGTTCAATGAGAAGTATGTTTCTTACTCCTTGGATGAATAGCTAGACCTAAAAATCCTATTGGCCCCAAAATATCATGGTATCTTTTGGAATATAAACTCTTTAAGCAATCCTGATATGATTTCTTGATAGTGACCACTTCCTTGTCCAGAGGAGTGTGTATATGGCAGCAATTGTACTAGGTTCTGGGATATAAAGGTAAATGCCACATGAATTTGCCCTCAGAAACTTCACATTCCAGATGGAGAAACAGATAGGTAAACAACCACCTGCAACACAGTGTGAGCTATAGAGATGATAGATAGATATTAGATAGATAATAGAGATAGATATAGATAGGTAGATGATAGAAAGAAAGAATGGACAGGCACATTGTTTAGGGGAAGATTTGTTTCATGTAGGGGTTCCTGGGTGGTTGGTTCACAAAGGGTCATATCTGATCTGGGCTTTGAAGAGTAGGAAGGAAATAATATTCCTGGCAGAAAGAGAACAATGTGAGCAAAAGCAACTTGGGTGCGGTAAAGTAATGGTGAGTAATGTGGTAAAGTATGGTATCTTCTGCATGGCTGGAAGATACCGTATTTTAGGTGGAGTGGTTGGAAATAAACTGGAAAACTTGGACCAGTTCTCCAAGCTCCCACCTGGGCTGACTCTCTAATAGAAGGTCAACTTTTGGCAGCTCAGCAGCTACCCCTACTGGCAAGGCAGAGTTGGTATCATGAATTTTGAATAGGGTCTTGCCTGTCTTGGGAGCAGCATTTCTTCAAAACATGTACTATGCGTTAGCACTTCCAGCTCTAACCTTCATCCTCACCCCGCCATTAAGCTATTCTATGAAAAAGGGATACGAGGGCTAACGATGCATTTGTGATATAGTGCTGCTAATCAGCATAAGGCTATATTCAGCAATACAGGAAATGTCTTTGGGACCCCTGTAGAAGTAGTTGAGGCTACTCAATAGTTTTGTTTGAGGCTACTCAACTGTTTATATTTTCAATAGGTTTCAGTTCCCGAAAGATTATAGCAGTGTGGCCTCCATCAGCTTGTCTCCATCTTATTGATAAATTCATGAAGGTTTTAATACCAGTTACATGCCAGACATGACCAGAAACTTATCCCCATCAAGAGGGAGAATTTCCATCTTCGGAGCTGAAGAAGAGATGAGTGTAACACTTCTAATTTTTTTTCCAACACTCTATCAATTAGCTTTCCCCATATTTTCCAAAAGAAAACTTTACTTTTCTCCTCCACAGAAATTTTGGATTTCTAAGGTGAAGGAACTCCTCCTGATTCTTCAAGTTTAAGGGTGGCCACAAGAAATAAATATATGCAGTGTTTTCCCTGGGGCTTAAGTGAAAAATCTAAGGGATGGGATGAAAGGGACTGAGTAGGGAAACATGAGATTCTTTCAGAGCTTTCAGTCTACTGAAAAGTCCTCGTTTGACCTAAACTCTAATTTTCTAGGAAGTATGGGAGTCCCAGGTTACTTCATTTCCAAGGTACAGGAGATTTCTTTCTAGTTTTGATGATCTACTTGCCCTTCAAAATAAAAGGGGATATTTACAGGAGTCATTACTCTCTGTGACATCCTCAGGAATGATGTCCACCCTTAGCCCAAGCTCGAGAAGAATTAGAGGATGGGACAAAATAACATTCACTTGAGAACAGGTTTTTAGTTATTCCTAGTATCAGGACAAATGCCAAGCAATCTTTCTCACCATCTATGAATGATGCAGCAGGCCCGCCAAAGTCAAACTCTGGGATCCCTCAAGTCACTAAGTCATAACTCAAATCCACATGTTATGGAAGCAAAGACTACTCTTGGTGGCTGTTCTGGTCTAGTAAGACAGTTCTAGTATTGCTCTTGTGAGTAATAAAGGCCAGGTGTCAACAGCTCCAACAGCAATAGTAGAAGCTAAGAGGGGGACAGCAGGGACATAGGTGTCATCCGTTCCAAATTATAGTCTGTGTACAGAGAAAGTGCACAGCCTGGAGAGGACAAGGAGAGAAGAATTTGGCTTATTATCGAAACCAGACATTTTAGTCATAACTGCTCCCTGTTCTCTGACCTTTCTCCCTGTGGCTGGAGTTTGGATTCTAGTCCTAGCTTAAGTCCTTTTCTGTGTAAATCAAGAAAATAGAACTCATTCTAGGTGTTTCAAATAAAAAAAAGGGTACAATAAAGGGAAATGTGCTTAGCAAACTGTTAGAAGGGCTAAAAAAGCAAAGATTGAGAGAGGGTCCACTAACATTCCTGCCTCTTTGGCAAAACAACCGGAAAATGCTGCCACACCGTAGGGCAAAAGACCAGGAAACTGGATGAAAGGCTAGAGTGCAGTGGCGCGATCTCAGCTCACCGCCACCTTCGCCTCCCAGGTTCAAGTGATTCTCCTGCGTCAGCCTCCCTAGTAGCTGGGATTACAGGCATGCGCCACCACATCCGGCTAATTTTGTATTTTTAGTAGAGATTGGGTTTCACAATGTTGGCCAGGCTGGTCTCAAACTCCTGACCTCAGGTGATCCACCCGCCTCGGCTTCCCAAAGTGTGGGGATCATAGGTGGGAGGCACCGTGCCTGGCCAGCCTTCACATCTTGTTCAAAGATTTGTTAATGTTAAATGGTAACAAAAGTCTGTGAGTGAGAGAGTGTAGTAGAATGTATTTCTAACTGTATTTCTTCCATTCCCTATGATATAAGAGAGATTATAGAACAGGGTGGAGTGGGAGCTAAATGACAACAGTCGACATACAGGAAACACTCCTCTGGGGTGTTTACCTTCTGGGTTGAACTGCATGTTCACAGTTGGCTGGTATCTTGGCCTGTGCTGGGTTTCTACACACACTGAGGGAGCCGGTGAGATTGCTTTGTTTCCTGTGATCAAGAGCAGGCTTAGCATGTCAAAAAACGTTATCTTTGTATTGCCATCAAGCAGCATCATGTAGTCTTGCCTTGGCTTCACAATTCAAAAGTTAACATTTTTCCTACATAGTTTTTCTCTCTCCCTTTCCCCATCACAATTACTTCAACAAAATCAAATGGGCATCTTCTCATCCAAAAATACTGTTGAGCACTTTCCTCCTCCTTACTAGAGGCCTCAAATTCATGTCAAAAACCAGACAGCATTAAAGAATAAAAGGATTGAAAGGACACAAGGTAAATAGGAAGAGCTGGGTAAAAGCATATTGCAGTATAAATTAAATTAAATTATCCAAAACTCTCTGTAAGTGAAACAAAAGAGCAGAGAAGGAAAAGCTCATTAAGGCTTGTGCACTTACTGTTGGCTTCATTGGAAAAGGAGAAATACTAACTAGGTTCAGAGGGGAGATTTGGGTAGAAGGAAAGAAGAGAAGGCATTCCAAATGTGCCTATGTATATTGCTTATGTCAGAGTCAGTGAAGGTATCTGTTACGTGGGAGTTGAAGATGGTCTGAGAGATGAATGAAAAATCACACTGATGAAGATCTAGGTAGCCTCTTTGAGGCATTTGTCCTTCATAGGGTGAGGAGTAAAATCCATTGATGGTTCTTTCTTGCTACTACTCTCTATGTCCATATAGATCCAGTATTTTGGTTCCTTGTGGATATGTACATAAAGAAATACCTTAAAATGAAAGCAGAAGAGGGCACTAGGAAATGTCAGACAGATATGGAATCAGCTGTCAGCTCCACCCTTCACTAGTTGTGATAAGTAGTATTCACTAACCCTTAAGTCCCAGATTCTAGGTGTATGTAATAGGCACAGCATGAACATATCTCTCAGGTCTGTTGTGAAAAGTAAAGTGGTAAGGTGAATGATGCACTTCTCCTGGCACCTAACACAGAGTAAGCATTCAACAATTGTTAACTGGTTTTATTTTCCTTTAATAAGTAGAAAAACTAACCACTAAGTAACCACATCTAGGTGTATAGGAACTTCTAGAAACCAGACTTATCTCAAGAATTATCCCTTTAGTTCTATTTTTTAAAAAAACCCAAACTTCCAGAGTCAAATACACTGGGTAAAGTTTCCATAGTTTTGAATTTTACAAAGCCTCTCTACATGCCAGGGCTTTACATAGAGAGTGTCTGGATTCTGCACTTAGGGAATCCATGTCTCCATGATGCACATAAAAATATGAAGAGTTTGCTTCTCATCAAGCCATAGAAGAATGACTAATTATAGAATGCCAGACGAGATAATTAGATGGTACAGACAATAGCTATTATCACAAGCACTAACACATGGTTACTTGCAGTCTACTGTGCCAGAACTGTCAGGAATCCTCCAACTCCGTATACTGCTGGAATATATTGAAGAGATCACTTCATAGCCTGAGCATCTGCAGGAGCAAATGAGTGAAGAATTACTTCACCTCCAAAATAAAGAGAATGACTTGATTGCTTTAACTTATACTTGCTTAACCTTCTTGGCTGAAGGATAACATAGCACAATGTAGAAGTGCCCTCTAACGTTGATTTAGGGGCAAAAGAAAAAAAAATATTGGCTGAGGGTGGGAAGAACCTGGCCCCTGATACTTGCAGGTGTATTTTTCTTGGGAAGCAAGATTGCTAGAGAAACAAAAGATTTGGTTCGTTTGGCTTGGCAAGTCAAAAATGCAATCCTAGGGAAAGACTTTATTTAGAAACTTTATTTTTCCCCTGTTAACTTGAATAGTTTATGGAGAAAAAAAGAACTATAAATGGTTCATAAGTTTGCAATTCTTTTTGTTTTGGTTTTAAAAACAAAATACACTATCCCCACCCAGGTAGATCTTGCTATAGATTAATTCCACTTTTAATTGGCTACTATTCCGTTCCCCACAAAGCTGCAGTTGAGACTGGGACATGTAATCTTAAAGCATGTGGCAACAGAAAGGACTCTTCCTCTGTTATCTCTGCCGTCTGCTGAATCTTCGACGGTCCTCTCTCCCCTGGACCCCCTCCCTCATCTATACACGTGCCTATCTCTCCTTTTAATGTACTCTTTCCAATAATCTGCAAATCACTGATTCTTGCATTTCTGCACCCTCCCTTCAGTGTTCAACCCACTACCATCTGGCTTCTGCCTTCAAACTATTTTCCCCTCTGCTCTTTTCTTGTTCTTCTACCACTGTGACTCCTTCCTTCTCCTCCATCTCCTTTGCTGATTTCCCCCTCACAACCACAGACATCATTCTTCCTACTCTCTGTGCCCTTGCTGGGTGATCTTATCCACATTCATGACTTCCATTTTCCCTTATAGTCCAGTGACCACCAAAGCAATATTCCTAGTCCCCTTAGCTTTCCTAAACCCCAGTCCTGTATTCCCACTTGAATAGAAGACAAGGTCATCCTGGCTGCTCCACAGAGACCTCAATTTGACCTGCTCAAAACAAATTCACTACATTCTCTCACAAACTTGCCCCCTTTCTATATACTGAAGCAATGAATGACAACACCCAGTTGCTTAAGCTTGAGATGTTTGGGTTATTTCTCATTTTTTCTTCCAACATTCCAATTCAACCTGTCACCAAGTCCTATTAACTGTACCTCATCAATATGCCTTGAATCCTTCGTCTTTTCTTCATCTGTTCTGCCACAAGCTTAGTTCAAGTTTAATTACTTCTCATCTATTACCAGATTATACGTTGAGCTGGTCTTTTTCTATCACTTTCTAACCTTTCTATAAACCATAGAAGAATCCACCCTTTGAGACACATTTTTTTCATGTTTCTCACTACAAAGAAGTATACAAATAAAAACCAGACAGTAGATCCTTAATGCCTAAGACAGAGTCCAAAATTCTGAATCTAGAGAACACAGCAGAAGAATCTCTTCTTCAGCTGACTCTACCCTATGCATCTACTCCATGTTGTTACCCTCCATTTACATATCCATGCACTCCATACCTCAGCCACACCTTTGCCATATCACATTAGTCATGCATGTAGTTGCCTTCTTTAAGCCTTTCCTTTCACCAGAAAAGGCACCCTCCCTCAGTCACCTGGTGAACTCCTGCTCGTCTTTCAAATTGTAAGTTACCTGTTGGCCCCTCTATGAAGTGATATTGACAACCTCCAAGCTGAATTGATAGTGACTTCCTTTGAATTTCCATTGCAATTTTCTGTGCTACTATTAGCAATCCTTGACATAAGGTTGTTGTGTAAGTTGTTTACATATAAATCTCCACCCCACCTAAAACCATTAAATCCTTGAAATGAAATACCTTTAGCACTTAACATATGCCTGTCATCTGGGAGTTGGTGAGCCTGTGGGATGAATGAATGTATTCTATAAAATTGCAACACTTACAATAGTTAGGCTTATCTAAAAAAATAAAATAAAAACCAAGACTTTTCTAGCATTCCAATTCCTAAGTCTTCATTCTGTCTCTTTTGGAATGGACTTCTCCAGTGACTTTTTCTTTCTCTAATCATGCAAATGACAACTTTGTAGCATCTTATTTAATCTATTTATTTATCTTTATATAGATAGTGGACCAGATTTCTGTGTTCTACAATTCCAGGAGAGTATAATGGGAAATAATATTACATAGATGAAAAGAGACAATTACTTGGGAATGTTCCAAGAGAAGATGGAATTAAGCTCCCTCAGCCCTTTGTTTGAGATACATTTCCCACCATGGCTGCTCTGCCAGCTCAAACCTTTTCTATCAGTCGAGCAAGTACCATCTGTCACCTATTATCAGGGGTAGAAGTCTGAGTACTTCCACTCACTGCATATTGGTTTTGGAGTCACCAAGGAAAACACAATGCAGTCAAGCACTGGATGGAAGAACACTTTACTCACCTAGAAAAGAGACAGAGCAACCAGGCTTGGTGGCTCACGCCTGTAATCCCAGCACTCTGGGAGGCCAAGGCAGGTGGATCACTTGAGGTCAGGAGTTCGAGACCAGCCTGACCAACATGGTAAAATCCCATCTCTACTAAAAAATACAACAATTAGCAAGGTGTGGTGGCATGTGCCTGTAGTCCCACCTATTCAGGAGGCTGAGGCAGGAGAATCACTTTGAACCTGGGAGGCGGAGGGTACAGTGAGCCGAGATTGTGCCACTGCACTCCAGCCTGAGTGACAGAGTGAGACTCTGTCTCCAAAAAAAGAAAAAAAGAAAGAAAGAAAAAAAAAGAAAGAGAGAGAGAGAAAGAGAAAGAGAAAGAAAGAAAGAAAGAAAGAGAAAGAAAAGGAAAGGAAAGGAAAAGAAAAGAAAAGAAAAGAAAAGAAAAGAAAAAAAAGAAAAGAAAAACAGAATCAGTGGTGAGTCTTCCATGGCCAGCGGGCCCCCTCCCAGTAGCCAACATGAGGCAACTGGCCTGCACATACCCTCTTGTGCTGTGTCAGAAGGACTCGATCCCCTTCCTGCCAGAGGCAGATATGCTAGTAAGGTTGGTCAGGTGACATAGGACACACACTTGTTCAGAAAGAAGGAGTATGCATTGAGTCTGAAACAGGAAATGATACTTCCACTCAAGGTGATGAATCTTGCACAGGCAGTGAGGACTCTATCTCTTGGTAAAGAAGTGTTTCAGACCCAAGGCCTATTCAGAAGTCATGAGAAGGAATCAGAAGACTGTGTGGATGCACTGCCTTTCTCCACACTATCATCTTCCATCCTTTTCATAAGCCCACTTTCTTTATATCACATTTCTTTTTCTCACCTACTTGAATTCATTCCCATGTTTATTTGCTTGATTCATGAGGTCACTTATTAATCAATCATTTTATTGATATTTTCAAAGTCCATTTTTACATACAATGTGTTTTTTCACCTAATGGGTAGCATGGGGTTACCATTCAATATGTAAAATAAGTTAGGAAAAAAATTTCCTTTATTTTGTTAGGTTTTTCTTTTCCCCCTAATCTTATGAGCTAAATCCTGTGCCATTGATAAAGCAGCCACACAGCTTATGGATTCTAATTCCATTTGGTTCTAAATTGCAGAGCTGAGAAAGCAACTGAAAAGACCCAGAGCTGAATTATTGACCAGCACTTATTACCATCTTTAAATGGTCTTGACAAATGAAAAAAAAAAAAAAGCAAAACACCTAACAACACTAATAAAACAGTAAGGTGAGAGTTATGGCAAGGAAACCTCCAGAGACCGATGTGTAAATTTAGAGAATGAGCCAGAAAAAATGAGAGGTCACATTAAAATATATTATCAAAAAATAATTCATGCTTTTAATCAAGAATTGGGGCATATTTTTGTTTCTTAACAGGAACTAATATCCTGCCAGGGAATGTAACCCGTGGCATCTCTAAAAGAAGTATCTGGATGTCCTAGGCAAAAGAACAAAATCATGGTAACCAGGAGACATATTTTTCTGTGCCAACCCAGAAAAACAACAGAATTCAATAAAAGAATGTTCTGGGCTGCAGTCTTTACCAGCTGCCCTCACTGAGAGAAGGGGACACACACAGGTCAGTCTATAATTCTCTCCTCCTTCAGAGCGTGAGTCAAACCCCTCTGCTCATTTATCCAATTCTGAGCCCCTATTTTGTTTTCCTTTCCTCACTCTCCAGCTTTTTAATCTAGAGAATTTTCTCCACCTTAAGCACTACCTCAAAACAGGTTCACTTAAGTTCTTTTGTTCCTGCAGAAATAAAAACATTCTTATCTCTGTTATTATCTTTGCCAATAGAACATCGAATCTTACAGACAGCAAAAAGGCAATATGAAAAAGGATGCAGAGAGAAATCCACAGAAAATGACCAATACAAAAGAAAACCATGTGTTGACAACAGTCCATTTTCCTGTTAGAACACTGTCAAAAATAAAATTGTATTCCTTACAGTCATGTCAACAATGTTTACTTTGCTTCTCAAGCACCCAACAGAGCCAAGGCAAGAAGAGGGTTACTGAATCTTATTGGTCAGGAAAGTGGAAGCCTGCACATTAGAGGGCATGACCTGAGCTGGTTTCACCCCCAAATCCTGAGCATTTGGACTGGAACCTAAAGCTTTTCCTGCCCTCTTCTTAAGTTCTGGAGATCCTTGCCTGCAGGAGGGCTGCTGGGTACCTTTCCATGAGGCTGATTTTATCCTAGGGTGATTCACATGTATCTTGCCCTTATGAAATTGGAAGGGGTGGTCACTCAGTCATCATGAAGATAGAGCTTACTTATGCTGGAGAATTGAGTGGAAGTGATGATCGGACTCCTTAGTGTAGATGTGTGGAAGGTGCTCCTGATCTAGAAGGAGATTTTCAGGGACATTCAGCACACCAGAGTATCTTTTCCAGGACCATCCTTCTGAATCCCCCGGCCCCTGCGCTGCCCCCCGCAACCAACCCTCTGCTTTCTGTATTCCTCCCCCGACCCCGGCTGCCTTCTTGATTCCTATAGCCAGGGCTATCTGCCTTGTGGCTGTCCATAGTCCCCTCCAGAGTCCAGCCCAGGCCTTTCTGTCCAATCCTCTTCAGTGTCACAAACCTCAAAAACAAAACACAATAAAACAAACAAACACGAACAACAACCTCATCATCAAAAATCTGATCTTTGACGATTGTGAAGATGACATACTTTATTAAAGTTATTTCCACGAAAGAATCAACAATCGTGGTTATTAAGATGTATTGAATTCTCATTATGTGCCATGGGATTTTTCAGTATTTTATACATCATCTCATTAAATCCTTACCCAAACTCTCTCAGGTGACCATTTTTATTATACTCATTTTACTGATGAGAAAACTGAGGTCTATAGAGTGTATCACTTCCCACCGTCAGTGGACTTCTGCAATCGGAAGAGCCAGGATTCTAACCCCGACGTGTCTGCTACCCAAGGCCATGAATTTTCCATTGTGTTATATTTTGTCTCTAATTGACTTTTCTGTTTTACCAACCACACACTTCCAGTGTTTGGAACAATACCATTCCCTCTGTTTGGGTTAGAGGGGAATTGTTTGGAAAGATAAAAAACAAACTCAAGTTTTTTTGGAGGTAGAGGGGAATAATAGGATACACAGATGTCCTACAGTACACATTTGGGGTCAAAATGTCGTGGGAACCAGCAGGAGTGAGAACCAGAGATTGGAAAGCCAAGGCCTCTCTCTACTTCTCAACTCTTCCTCTCTTGTATATAAGCTTCTCCTTTCTCATGCTCTGCAGACAAACTTTCTCCGCATGCTAGTCCATTTGGTGGTAAATAGACCTGTTTACTATGCCTGGGTGACAGCAATGAAGAGATAAACCATAACCAAATCCAGAATCTTATTCCAGTTTGAAACTTCTGGAGAAGAGATTCTCATTGGCTTAGCTGAAGTCATGGATCCATATCCCAGACCAATCAACTGTGTCTAAGGGCCCAGAGTCATGCTGTACAAATGGATGCTCCCAGGGCTTGCTACAATTACATACGTTTTTCATAGAGATGATTAGGATATCTACTCTACACCTATGCTGGAAATGTATTATACCTTCATTAAAGGTGGAGTACACATTGATGGATGGTAATGAGTCACTCAGTTTCTAAGAAACTCAAAATGCGCAATCCAAATGTTCCCAGAGGAGGAATGCAGTATCTGTTTATTGTCTTATCTTAAGCTTCAAGCCAAGTTTTGCCAACACTGATAGAGAAACCACTTCCCCTCCTATACACACCCCTGAATTCTTGAGTCAACCCTTGAAAAAGTAATAACAGTTTAAAAATATCAGTGTATTCCAATTCACCATTATGAACAAAGGCAGTCAAAATTCTCATCATTCAAATATATTCATTAGTAGGCATGACTCAGGCTAATAAATACTTACTTTTTTTTTTAAAAAAAAAGCAACCTAAATGAATCCATTAGCATGCTTAGAAATCCAAATAATACTATAAACAGATTTCCCCCAATTTGTATTCTGTGAAACACCTGAGTTAAATGAAAAATTCCATATAATAAATCCCCCCTTTTGGGTGCCGACAAAATTCACTGGCATAGCAGGATGTGCCTATGAATATGATGGGATACCAGTCACATGACTATGTTGTATTATCTATCAAAAGGAATTTTACAGTTGCGATTAAGATTCCCAATCAGCTGCCTTGGAACTAATAAAAATGAAGTTTGTCATGGGACAGTCTAACCTAATCAAGTAAGCCCTTAACAGAAGTCAAAAAGAGAGAGAGATTCTCCTGTTGGCCATTTTTTTTTTTTTTTTTTTTTTTTTTTTTTTTTTTTTAGACGGAGTCTCACTCTGTCGCCCAGGCTAGAGTGCAATGGCGTGATCTCGGCTCACTGCAACCTCTGCCTCCCAGGCATTCAAAACCCTCACAATTTGGTTGCAACATACTTGTCAATTTTTAGTTTTCTAAACCTCTTAGACAAATGGATTTACTTTCAATTCCTTCAAACACTTTTAAAGACTCATTTCTTGACTAAACCTATTCTTTGTCTCATACTGCATGTACCCTCTGAGACAACTTTCCCTTCTACTCTGTAAATCTGAATCTTACCTATCTTCAAAAGCTGAGCTCTGATGAGCTCTATTCTATAAAGCATTCTTCTTTATTATCTGTTGGAGGTAGTCTTTCTTCTCTGAGTCATCCACCACTTTCCAAGTATCTTTGCTTTTAAGCCCTTATAAATGTTGTGATTTTGCGTTTATTTGATCAACATCTGTCTTCTTCCTCTAGACTATCAGCTCCAAACTGGCAAGAAAATTAAACATGTCTGTTTCTGCTTATCATTGTGTCCCCAGGCAACACAGTATCTGTCACATTGCAGATGTAGAGTAGGTAATTATCAAATAATCAGTTGAATTGACATCTCTTAAGACTCGATTATTTTCTGACTCATGGGGGTAGATAATTTGTACCCATGTCTTATTCTCTAGAATAAACTATCAGCTCCTTGAAAACATTATCTACATCTGCTTCCATTTGGTAGCCCTCAAAAAAAAAAAGTCTTGTGTGTTGTAAATATTCATTGAAAGCTGATTAACTAACAAGGAAATTTGGGGAAAAAAAAACTGTGAAGTCATGTGGCCCTATGTTCAAATCCTGGCTTTGTAAATTTGGATTAAAAATGTTTAAGGATATTTTCTAGTTAATGTAAGTATTAATATTTTATGTTTTGTTACCTATGAAGAGCTTTCATATATATATATGTATATATATGTGACACATTGTAGCATATATATGATATATTCATATGTCTCAGTTGATTGTTGAACTACATCAGATAATATTTTATCCCCAATTTGCAGATGAGGAAACAGAGGTAAAAATAAAGCAATTGAGGCTTAAAGAGACTAATGGTCACTCAGCTATTAACTGAGGAACAGTGATTCCAACTAAAGTTTTGTAGCCCTAATTCTGTGGCTTTTCCATTCTCATATTAATATATTGGCAACATATAGATTCATATCAATGGATCTGTGCCGTTGGATAACAAAATGCTTTATAGAATTCAGGCTTCTTTTAGTTCGTGTCTATTGATCCAACCTCTGAGCACACTAGAAGGGGCTTATTTAGAATTTCTGGTCTCATAATAGAAAAGCAGGAGAATTATGTGGTAAATCTTAGAGGAAGAGCAGGATAGGCCCATTTTCATATTTGGCATTAAAAAAAACTCCCCCCAAAGTCCCTAATAATTTTTTTCCTCTCTCAGATGCTTTCTTCTCTGAATAGGTACCAAATTGAAGCTCATCATTTTTATATAAACCAGAACCCCTTCTTCTATTTGTTTATTTGTTGGTTTTTAAAAATCATTTGACCTCTACATTGAAACTCAAATCCAAATCAAGAAAAAAAACAGTGCTTATTTATTAAGCAGTTTGCTGTGATGATGCTCTTTCCCAGGAATGAATCCCTGTCCCTCTCAGACTTCCTTTCACAGGATGCTCTGATCTGGCTCGCCCTTACAGCACTAGGCAAATTGTTTTGCCTGGCTTATTCCATCAAATACAAGGCTCAGCTGCCTTTTCTCACACTCGGAATCCAGCAGACCATTTTCCTTGGTCATCAACAGAGGAGTGGAGTCTCTTCTCTTAATGGGCTGAGCTCCTGCCAAGTTCCAAGTGCTCTTGCCCTTCCTTAAGGATGCTGAATATTTGCTCCTTACCCAAGACATCTGGATACCTTGTGTGAGTAACCCCCTCCTGAGGGTGGTGGGTTATTTCAAAGCAAATCATTCCAATAAAAAAAAAATGTTTAGGAACTTTCAAACAATTTTGATAGAACTTGGTAACTTAAATGAAACAAAAACTTTTCCAGTTGCAGCTTCTACTCAACAGCAGGTGAAACAATAAAAAATATTGAACAAGCAAAATTAATCTGTAGCCAGAGAATTTTAATAAATTTTAAAACAAATACATCCACATAGATCCTCTGGGATTTTGCCAGCAAGTGTTTAACAATCTGTTTTTAATATCCAGGCAATGTGCTGCAACTGCAGGCATTGAACAGTAATGAAGTACTTTGTAAAAAATAAATAAAAGCAATAATAATGCTGAACACAATTTCAAAAGAGAAACACAATGGTGACAGAAAAGATTTTGGCTGAAACACAAGGAATACCAGAACGTATCCTGGTTAAAATATATCAGCTGGATAGGTGGCTACTGTAGGCCTTCCATTCTTGATCTAGTAGTGGAACAGGTTTGTAGCCTAACCATATAACATTTACATCTAATGAGCCAGGCAGCTAAATGTTAACCCAGATCTAATTAACAACCGTATGAGAAGCATGACATTTGGTACATTTTTCCTTTTCTTTCTTTATAATCCATAAAATTTCCTCAAAACTTTAGAAATAAAAAATAATTTTGCAGAAAGACACTTTTTTGGTAACCATTATTCCCCTAGTTAGAGTAACACCTCATTTGTCCATCATCATTGAGGGAACGCATGTTCCTCACAAATTAATTTTCCTGTAAAAGAAAGCAAGTTTCGTGTTCAAAGTAGTCAATTTCATCTAGATGTTTTTACTGGAACTCTTTCTAAAAGATATTACATATTGAACAGGATTTGACCTTTTCTGATGATTCAGAGTTATCATCATGGCCATCAATCTCCATGAATAGCCACCAACTCTTTCCCTTCCAAATGCAAACATACTGGAATCTCTCACAAGCTAAAAGAAATGTTCCTTTCAACCCTATCTATCTTGAATCTCTCTTTTAAATTTATTTTTTAAAAACAGCTTTAATGTAGTACAATTCACCCATTTAAATAATACAATTCAATGATTTTTTAGAATATTCACATTTTTGTGCAACCATCATCATAGTCAATTTTAGAACACTTTCAGAAAGAAATATATACCCATTCGCTATTTTCCCTGCTTATACTTTGGCACTGCACTCCTGCACTTCCCTATCCCAGCTTAAAGCAACACCAATCTACTTTCTGACTCAATAAATCTCCCCATTCTGTACTTCCATATGAACAGAATCAAACAATACATAGTCTTTTGTGGCAGGCTTTTTTGACTCAGCATAATATTTTCAAGGTTCATCATTTGTTGCATGTATCTGGATATTGTTCCTCTTTAAGGCTACATAAAATTGCATTGTGTGAATACACCACAAATTTAAAATCCATTTCTCCATTAATTTGGGTTGTTTCTGCCTTTGGCTCTTTTAAATAATGCTGCTATAAACATTTGTGTATATGTTTTGTATCCACAAGTGTGGACATAAATTTTCATTCCCTTTTGATATACACCTAGGAACGAAATTGCTAGGTCATATGATGATTCTGTGTTTAATCATTTAAAGAACTGCCAGACTGCTTTTCAAAGTGGCTGTACCATTTTACATCCCCACCAGTAGTATATGAGGGTTCTAATTTCTCCACATCCTTGTCAACTCTTGTTAACCTGTTTAATTATAGTCATCCATTGTGATTTTGATTTGCATCTCTCTGATGAGTAATGATGTCGAGCATTTTGTGTGTGTGCTCATTGGCCATTTGTATATCTTTGGAAAGATATACAAATTTGGAATCCAAAAAGATCTGAAAAACATTGTGGTTGTCTTTTTATTACTGAGTGGTGAGGGTTTTTTATATATTCTAGACACAAGCCATTACTAGGTATATGATTTGTGAATAATTTCTCCCATTCTATGGATTATCTTTGTACTTATAAAAATGCTGTCCTTTCCCTTAGTTTCCACTGAGAAGAATCCCTTGTTGCCCAGCTATTTAAAAGGAAGTCACCGTAGTCCTTTTATTCCACTATGTATCTCTCCCCATTCGTTCTTAAAATCCACTGCACTATAACTTTAACATCCACAATTGCTTTGCAACTCTCTTACTAAGGTAACACTGTTCTTAATAGGGCCAAGGATTTTCTTATTGTTAAACCCAAATGCTTTCCTTTAATGCTTACTCTACTTACTAATTAACATATGGCAATCTTCAACCTTTATTTCTTTGAAAATTTATCCTCCCTTAGCTTTCAATATATGATTTTCTCTAGATTTTATTCTTATTGTAAAAAGAATTTCTTATTTTCCTCCCCTGCTCCTCTTATTTGTACACTTAAATGTTGATGTCCCTCCAAGTTCACTCTGTCATCATATTTTCCAAGTACATCTTCTACATGAATTATCTCATTTATTCCTGTGCTTTAAACTCTACTGATAACTATCCAAACAAATCTCCAGCCTTCACCTTGTTCCAGAGTCCAGAACTACATTTTTAACTGCCTAGCAGTTCCTTCTTAACCACTTAGAATTACTGCAATCAATTAAAACATGACATTTTCAAAATAGAAAGTAAGTTCTCTCTCTAATTGTTTATCTTTTCTTATTCTCATATCATTGAGGCAAGGATGTTTGAATCATTCTTCACTAATCTTCCTCTTTCATGCTGGTCTCCTGTCAGTCATCAGGTTGATCTTACCTTCTAAATATCTTTCTAATCTTCCTTTCTTCCTCACTGCTGTCATTACCTTTCAATAAACTTTCCTAATGATTTATTAGGATTATTTTAGCACAGCCCACCTCAGTTCCCTTCTTCCATCATCTCTCTTATCCAATCCATCTTTGTCACTCTGGCCAGCATTAACCTTCTAAAACACAAACTTGTTATTGGGACCCTTTACCTTTACAATGACTACCTTAAACAGCTCCCTGTGGCCCACAGAACAAATCTTTCCATGATGCCTCAGACCCTTAATTATTTGTCCTCATCTGTATTCCTCCTGTTGTGTTGTCTACCTGCCCCCAATCCAGAAATTTTAACTGACTTTCTGTTCCCCAAGAATGCTGTATTCATTTTTCTATTGGTGCATAACAAATTTTCAGAAATTTAGCAGCTTCATATGACACAAATGTATTATTCCATAGTTTCTATAGGTCAGGAGTCTGATGCATTTTAGCTGGATTCTCCACTCAAAGTCTCACAAAAGTGAAATGGAAACCTGGGGCAGCTGTCTTTTCATATGGAAAATGAACTAGGGAATGATTTGGTTCCAAATTCCTTCAGGTTGTTTGTCGAATCTATGTTCTTGCCATTGTATGACTGAGGTACCTGTTTTATTGCTAACAGTTGACTGGGGGTCACTCTCATCTCCCAGAGGCAGCTGTCAGGTCTCTGACACATAGTGTGTCAGAGGCCCCACACATAATGTGACATTTTGCTCTTTAAAGGCCAACAGGGCGGGGCGCGGTGGCTCATGCCTGTAGTCCCAGAACTTTGGGAGGCTGAGGCAGGTGGATCACGAGGTCAGGAGATTGAGACCATCCTGGTTAACATGGTGAAATCCTGTCTCTATTAAAAATACAAAAAATTAGCCGGGCATGGTGGTGGGCGCCTGTAGTTCCAGCTACTCAGGAGGCTGAGACAGGAGAATCACTTGAACCTGGGAGGCAGAGGTTGCAGTGAGCCGAGATCACGCCATTGCACTCTAGCCTGGGCAACAGAGTGAGACTCCGTCTAAAAAAAAAAAAAAAAAGGCCATCAGGAGAATCTCTCTCTCTTTTTGACTTCTGTTAAGGGCTTATTTGATTAGGTTAGACTCTCCCATGACAAACTTCATTTTTATTAGTTCCAAGGTAACTGATTGGGAATCTTAATCGCAACTGTAAAATTCCTTTTGATAGATAATACAACATAGTCATGTGACTGGTATCCCATCATATTCATAGGCACATCCTGCTCACACTCAAGAGGAAGGGACTATACAGGGCACATCCAGCAAGGGTGGGAATCTTGGGGGCCATCTTAGAATTCTGCCTACCACACATAACATGCTCTGTCATGACTCTATGCCTTCTCATAGACCATATCTTCTTCCTATTATATCCATTCCTCTACTGTCAATTGGGAAAGTCCCCAACTGGCTTTTAAGACCAAGTTCAAATAGTAGTTATCAATTAAGTCTTCAAGACAAATCAGTTTCTTCCCTCTTTGTACACCCATTCTACTTTCTATCTTTTTCTATTATATTTGCTTAGGTTTTTGCCATCCCAGCTGGACTGTAAAATTTTCTTTGTTTTAAGTGTTTTTATTTTAATTTTTGTGGGTACATAGTAGGTGCATACATTGATGGGGTATATGAAATGTTTTGATACAAGCATACAATGCATAATAATCACATCATGTAAAATGGGGTGTTCATCCCTTCAAGAATTTATCATCTGTGTTATAAACAACTCAATTATACTTTCAATTAATTTAAAATGTACAATTAAATTATTTTTGACCATTCTCACTCTGTTGTGCTAGCAAATACTAGGTCTTATTCATTCTTTCTATTTTTTGGGCCCATTAACATCCCCAGCACCTCCCCTGCCCCCTGCCACACAAACACACACCACACGCTACAATTTCCAGCCTCTGGTAACAATCCTTCCAGTCTCTATTTTCATGAGTTCAATTGTTTTGATTTTTAGATCTCACAAATAAATGAGAACGTCTATGTTTGTCTTTCTGTGCTGGTTTATTTCACTTAGCATAATGACTTCCAGTTCTATCCATGTCGTTGCAAATGACAAGATTTCATTCTTTTTATGGCTGAATAGTACTCCATTGTGTATAAGTACCATATTTTCTTTATCCTTTCATCTGTTGATGGACACTTGGGTTGCTTCCAAATTTTGGCTGTTGGGAATAGTGGCTGCGACAAACCTGAGAGTGTAGATATCTCTTTGATACACTGAATTCCTTTCTTTTGGGTATATACCCAGCAGTGGGATTGCTGCATCATATCACAGGTGTATTTTTAGGTTTTTGAGGAACTGTCAAAGTATTCTCCATTGTAGTTGTGCTAATTTACATTCTCACTAATAGTGTACGAGGGTTCCCTTTTCACCACATTTTCACCAGCATTTGTTATTGCCTGTCTTTTGGATATAAGCCATTTTAACTGGGGTGAGATGATATCTCATTGTAGTTTTGATGTGCATTTCTGTGATGATCAATGATGTTGAGCACTTTTGCATATGTCTGTTTGTCATTTGTATGACTTCTTTTGAGAAATGTCTATTCCGATATTTTGCCTATTATTTAAATTAGATTACTATTAAATTGGTGTGAAAGTAATCTAAAAGTAATGGCAAAAACCGCAATTACTTTTGCAACAACCTAATAGATTTTCTCCTATAGAGTTGTTTGAGCTCCTTATATATTCTGATTATTAATCCCTTGTCAGATGGGTAGTTCACAGATATTTTCTCCCATTCTGTGGATTGGCTTTTCGCTTTGTTGATTGTTTCCTTTGCTGGGCCGAAGCTTTTTAACGCTATGTGATCCCATTTGTCCATTTTTGCTTTGGTTGCATTATTTTCGCTTTTGGTTGTCTTTGCTTGTGATGTACTACTCAAGAAATTTTTGCCCAGCCAAATGTCCTGGAGACTTTCCCTATTTTCTTGTAGTAGCTTCATAGTTTGAGGTCTTAGATTTAAGTCTTTGGTCCATTTTGATTTAATGTTTGTAAATGGCTAGAGATAGGGATCTAGTTTCATTCTTCTGCATATGAATATCCAGTTTTCCCTGCACCATTTATTAGAGAGACTGTCTTTTCCCCAGTAGATATTCTTGGCACCTTTGCTGAAATTGAGTTCACTGTAGGTGTGTGGATTTGTTTCTGAGTTCTCTATTGGACTGTAAAATTTTCAAGAGCATTAAGGACTTTTCACTTCTCTTTGCTTCCCCAATTCCAGGCCTGTATTAGGCTCTAAAAATGTGTGTTGAATGAATTGATCCATTTCTTTATTATGCAATAAAAGGTCATGATAATCTCATGGGCAGTTGAAGTGAATACAGGCTTTTGGCCACATAGCAACAAATCTCCTCAGACTGATGCTTTTAAGCCAGATTTTGTTTGTTTGTTCTTCCTTTCCCATTGTATTATCAGATGGTTAAATCTCACTGCTTCCCTGGGACCTGGCTACAAAACTGCTTCTCCTGAATTGTTACATACAAGCTGGTGTCAATTGGGAAACAAACTAATTGAATATATTAAAATCAAAGGCAAAATATAAGTATGATGGACTTTGATGGATTGTCAGACAATCTCTTTTATGGGTATCATGCGTGACCTTTGGCACAGAGACCACAAAATCAGTTTTGTCTGTTAGTAGGCATTCTTCCAGGTACTTGGAAATCAGTTAGCAGAGTTTTCTAAGTAATCTTTGAATAAATGAGGCTTAATTTTATGTCCATAAGGTCAACCATTTTGAAAGGTAAATTTTAATAGGAGGCAGCTTAAAAGTGAGAGGACTGATTTACTCCTTTACCTTTCACTTTATGTAATTATTTGCAAATGAAGGCTTTCAATGAACTTAACAGTAAGTCTTGAAAATGAAAAAGTGAGCTCAAAATATTTCCTCCAAACTCAAAAAAAAGGAATTCATTTTTGTTTTAGTCATTTCATTTATTAGATCTCCCTAGTGGAGAGATAGAACCATAAATGTGTGTTTTAGATGGAGTTTCAAGTCCCTAACAGACCACTAAAAATGCAGAAGTTAATGAAACTGATCTCAGTGGGAAAATCTATACATTTTGAGTTGTTCAAGTTCTATACTTCACTACAATGTGAATGCCTTGAGATTAAGGACTATGTGTAAATTGTTCACCTTATTATCCCCACTACCTAGTCCATATAGGCACTCATTACATCTTTGAATGAAAGAATGATGGAGGACCTGATATGCAACACTGTGACTCAGTATGAGTCTTTGGCTAAAATATGTCACAACAAAAAAGAATCGGTAGAGAATAAAGAATCAATATGAGAGATGATAGAGAAGATGCAGAGACAAACTGGGAGAGACATTTTCCCATTCCTAGTTAAATGTCTAATCTTCCCCTAGTGAGGGGATTTGATAGTTCTTGACATTCACAGTTATTGTATGTACTATGCATGTATGTTTAAACTAAAGTAAAATATTCCACAATATTGCTTTAGTCTTTTTAAAATTTACATAAAGTCTTGAGAGACTAAGTACACTTGTTTTTAGTCACTAGTATCTGAACCTGAGTGAATCAAATAACACTTTTCTTAGGATTCTGTTGGCCAGAATATAAAGACAGAGGAAGAACTCTTCTTATAATAATTTGTAAAAAGGGCCTGTGTATGGGTATTATTTTGAGCAGGCTGATCCCTCCAAGCTTAATTAGGATAATATAAGCAGAACACAGGTTTATGCCAGTAGACCCAATACTGTAGTTTTAATAAAATAATTGAATAATTTTATTTAAGCATTCTGAGAATTTGGGAGTGGAGTGAAGAATTATAGCTAAAGTAGGTTTAGAGCAAACATACTATAGGTCAAAGTCTATTAAAGTCAAAGTCAAAATCGAAGTCAAATGAGCTATCAAAAATCCACTAGCCTGAAAAACAAGAGAGCTCTGAAACTAACTAATTTTTGCTGAAGACTCATTTAATCTCAGGAAAGTTCAGTTTTCTTGCTGTATAATGATAGTTGAACTACCTAATACCAAATTTCCTTTCTAATTCTCATATTCTAAAAATCTAAGCCTGATTTTTTTTGTCATTGTTGAGTTTTACTGGTATTCTACCCAGTAAGTTCATGATATATTTTTTTATAATTTTCTTGTATTCTATGCTTAGGAAAAATGATTTATTACAGATTGGGAGCCAGTGACCATATATTGTTGAGCATAAAATATTGAGCAGATCTGTCTGTCAATAGTAAAGATTCTGGGGGAAAAAGCCTCTGAAATAAGCCTCATGAACAAGAGAAGCAAAAAAAAAATTAAAATATTGAGTGTCTTTCTTCTCAAATGCATGGAGTATGAAAGAAGAGTATTAATATACTGTAAAACTGGTTTAAATATTTCATATGCTTTTCAAGATACACTAAAAGCAATAGATCCCTTTAGAAGAATGAAGACTGTATCACGGAAACATTAATTCCCAGGAGGCCTAGATTCTAAGTTACGAAATTATTCTTTAGCCTCTCACTCTCCTAAACTGATTTCAACACTCTGCATGACCATTTAATCAAAAACCTTGGAATACAATTTTAAAAGCCTCTAAAGATGCTTTGTGGAATGCATTGGGAAAGGAAATGTTTACTCTGGGAATATTTCCTTGGGAAATTGTTACTACTTGGGAACACATCAACTTTTGAATTCCTAATGTTTTTGTTAGCATACATACCATCTCCTGGAAAGCTGAAAGAAGAAGATATATTCTTAATGAGGTTTTAAGAGAGAAGGTCATCGTATAACAAGAGTCTTCCTTTTATTTTGCCACAATTCTTTGGAATGGTTGGGGTTCCAATCTGTTGGTAGGACCTCTTTAAAAATGTCAACCTTCCTGTTCACAAATTTTTACCAATTGCCATGTGTTCCATATTTTTTGTTTGAACACATCACCCAACACAGAACTTTCATCTAAAAATATAGTGTAAAGTCACTCTTAAGATGTCAAAGCAAGTTACATGGAACTACAACCCTCCCTTACTGGCAGAGTGCACATGGTCCTTCAGTAAACTGATCTGCCTTTTAAAATGATTTTTCCTAAACCTCCTGCTTTAATTATTTCTTGTCCTTCCCTCAGGGGCCATTGCTAGCGAAAGACCATAGCAACCTTTTAGATATTTATAAACTCTGTTTGTAGATATAATAAAACTTATGGTGCAGCCAGCTAAATAAAGACACAACCAGCTGCTATGTCTTCTACCCTCTGCATTTGAATGAGACATTAGTCTATAGAGATTATGAAAAGAACATGAAAAAATTTGATATGCTAACAGCCAAAGTAAATCTCAATTATATCAATGGTGTAACATCTTTGATTCAAGAGATAGTGTAAAGTCATTTCTTATACCAAAATGAAATATCTTCTGTTATGAGCACTAACATATTTTGAAGAACACTGGTCTTGAAGCATGCTCCATAAAAAAGATGAATTTTGGAAATGCTATATACTAAACCCTTTTCTTGTAGTGTCATAATGCATATTAGTATATTAAAAACTCCGAGAAGTTCTGTCCCAATGAGATCCATTTAATTTTGTTGAAACCTTTACAATAACTTCTCATATGTTTTTTCATTATAATACCTATTATTATCCCAAGGAACTATTTCTCCAGGATTCGTGTCCCAGGAAATGCTGTCTTTCTCTTTGTGGAAATGAAACATAAGTGGCCACAGTTTTCTTTATACGGCCAAAATACTATTAAACTGGCACAAAATAATAACACATTGCTGTCATTCTTTTCATGGTTTCATTTGTTTCTTTCTCTTAAGGAAAAAAGTGACTGATAACACAGATTTCATTCTAAGTTCTTCCTTTCACCCACCAGTCCCCTGACTAGAGATTACTAGTGCTTACTGTGTAGTCATAGAACTTTGGAGCCACTGTGTCTTTCCATGTGTGTCTGCAAATCCTTACCAGGCGTGACTTTAAAGGGTGTCAGATTAACGGTGTGTTTCATTACCAATAACAATAGTAACAGCAACAATATAAGAAATAATAATACAACTTTAAAATCAACTGTCTTTTAGGGGAAAAGGAGGATATGTGAAAAAGTATCCATATATAGTATTTTTTCCTTTCCCTGGGAACAATAAAGACAAAACAGAATGTGAACATAATTTCTGAAAGAAGTAACTAGAATAATAAAGTTTGCCTGTTGGGAAAGGTCTAGTCACCACTCAGGTTGTAGTGTTGCTACAAGTACATTTAAAAAGATTTCTCATTTTCTTCACCTCTAATTATTTCCAATACCTGTTGTGTTCTTATGATTGTTGAGGGTGTGGGTGAGCTGTGAAGACTTGTAGGAAGTTGGTTAGTTGGAATAATACAGTTGGCTTCGTGGCAAGCTGAAGGTGAAAGGCAGAGAGTTTCATTACTAACATTTTGAAAGCACTTCAAAATATGTTCCTTTTGCAGCTTTTGACATCCAGAAGCCAAATGTCCTCTTGAATTACCACTTATCAATATGAGCATTCTGATCTGTGAATAAAAGCACAGGACAGTAATTATTTCAAAATGAGACTTAAGACATTAAAGTCTAGGGCTCTTTTAGAAGGTAAAATGTTGTGTTTGAGGATACAGACTTTAAAAGTCCTACTTTTTTGTTAGAACCTCCATTAAAAAATGATACTTCAATCCTGTGTTTTTGTAGCCTGATTTTGGAATTAAGCCCTATGGGATAAAGGCACAAAACAAGGTGAATTGTAAAAAAAATCTTACTTCCAGATATATGTCCATGGGCCTATATTAACTTAAAATACTTACGAATACATGCATTTTCTATGTGGATTATTTCTACATTCAATGATACCAAAAGTTTATATGTTCAGCATTTATAAACCAAATGCCTTTCTTCAAACCAATTTAATAGAATTAGAGTATCAGAGATGTGTGTTTTCTGAGTTGATTGTGAATTTGGCTTAGATAGTCTTGGTAGAAAGTTGCCACCCTCCAATCTTTTTTCCACCTAGCTGAAAACAAGCCAGAACACACCATTTCCCTGGCTACAAACCATCAGACTCCCCCCATTTCAGTTACAAGGAAGATTATATAGTGATGGGCCAATAGCTCAAATCTCATCTCTGACATTTGGCAGCTGTGTGACCCTTATGTTCTCATCTGAGTACTTGGCGTAATAATACTCCCCCCACAGCATTATTGTAAGTATTGGGAATATAAAGACCAATAAGATTTGATTCATGTTCTTGATATATTGTCAAGTCTGACATATTTCATGAAGACTTTTTGATCTTCCTAACCAGACTGTGAACCGAATAAAGCATGGCCCAAGACTTATTCATATTCATACAACTGGCACCATACATGCCATACGGAAGCATTAATAAATGTGGCTTGAATTGTGTTAAATTACAGCAGAGATAGATTGTCATTTATTTTTCTTTAATATGGCTCTGTGCATGGTGTAGGCATCCATATGAAAACAGGCGAAGATGGTTCTGTGGTCTGGCTGGGCCCTGTACAGTGTGTTTAAATCCAGGTTGTTTTTGGTATTGCTCTGATGCAGATGACCACTGGCTGAACCCCTCTTTCAGTCATACTGTTCTCTAAAGAGGACAGAATATCCTTACTTGGCATAAAGTACAGTGATATCACAGTCTTAAACTTCTGTTCTCATCCTTTCCAAATTGTATCTAGCTCTCTATGACCTAAATCAATACTCATCATAAACTCCAAAATACAACACAAACTTCCTCTCCCACACCCCTCTACCAGGCTTCTTCTAGAATGTACCCTCTGCTCAATTTAAGTTGATGATAACTAAACCCTATTATTTGCTTTAAATAGGAAAGAGATAGTATTGAAACAGTCCTTTTTAATTCTGAGCATAAATGTTTCATCAAAACCATGCAACCTCTACAGCAGTTCATTTTCACACACTCTGAGAATCCAGTAGAATGAGTAAAGAGATAAATGAATGTTGAACTACACTTTAAAGAAAGGATTAAATCAACCTTTCCAACCCAGTCATCAAGAGGAAAACCATTAATGATTTCAGTTTTGAAATATAAACGCAATGCAACATGGGCCCCTAATTATTAGTTTGTTAGAGTTGCTATAACAAAGTATCACAAACTGAATGGCTTGGACGACAGAAATTTATTTGCTCATGGATATGGAGACCAGAAGCCTATGATCATAGTATCTACAGGTAGCTTCCTTCTGAGGGCTGTGAGGGGAAGTTTTTTCATGTCTCTCCCCTAGCTCCTGGTGTTTTTCTGGAATTCTATTACATTCCTTGGTGATATGGTTTGGCTGTGTCCCCACCCAAATCTCATCTTGAATTCCCACGTGTTGTGGGACAGTGACCCGGTGGGAGGTAACTGAGTCATGGGAGCAGGTCTTTCCTGTGCTGTTAATGTGATAATGAACAAGTCTCATGAGATCTGATGGTTTTAAAAAGGGGTCTTTCCCTGCACAAGCTCTCTTCTCTTGTCTGCTGCCATGTGAGGTGTGCCTTTCACCTTCCACTTCAACTGTGAGACCTCCTCAGCCATGTGGAACTGTAAGTCTAAGAAACCTCTTTCTTTTGCAAATTGCCCAGACTTGGGTATGTCTTTATCAGCAGCGTGAAAATGGACTAATACAGTAAATTGGTACCAGGACTGGAGCATAACTGAAAAGAAAATGTGGAAGCAACGTTGGAACTGAGTATCAGGCAGAGGTTGGAACAGTTTGGAGGGCTCTGAAGAAGACAGGAAAATGTGGGAAAGTTGGAAACTTCCTAGAGACTTGTTGAATGGCTTTGACAAAAATGCTGATAGTGATATGAACAATAAGGTCCAGGCTGAGGTGATCTTAGATGGAGATAAGGAACTTGTTGGGAACTGGAGAAAAGGTGATTCTTGTTATGTTTAATGAAGAGGCTGTCAGCATTTTGCCCCTGCCTTAGAGATTTGTGGAACTTTGAACTTGAGAGAGATGATTTAGGGTATCTGGCAGAAGAAATTTCTAAGCAGCACAGCATTCAAGAGGTGACTTTAGTGCTGTTAAAGGCATTCATTCTAAAAGAGAAACAGGGCATAAAAGTTTGGAAAATTTGCAGCCCAACAATGTGATAGAAAAGAAAATCCCATTTTCTGAGGAGAAATTCAAGCCAGCTGCAGAAATTTGCATAAGTAATGAGAAACCAAATGTCAGTCACCAAGACAACGGGAAAAATATCTCCAGGACATGTTAGAGATCTTTGTGGCAGGCCCTCTCATCAAACACCCCGAGGTTTAGGAGGGAAAAATGGTTTCATGTGCCAGGCCCATGGTCCCTCTGCTGTGTACAGTCTAGGGACTTGGTACCCTGCATCCCAGCTGCTCCAGTCATGACTAAAAAGGGCCAAGGTACAGCTCTGGCTCTTGCTTAAGAGGGTGCAAGCCCCATGCCTTGGCAGCTTCCACATGGTGTTGAGCCTGTGAGTGCACAGAAGTTAAGAATTGAGACTTGGCAACCCCTGCCTAGATTTCAGAAGATATATGAAAATGCCTAGATTCCCAGGCAGAAGTTTGCTGCAGACCCCTCATGGAGAACCTCTGCTAGGGCAGTGCAGAAGGGAAATGTGGGGTCAAAGCCCCCACACAGAGTCCCTACTGGGGCACCACCTAGTGGAGCTGTGATAAGGGGGCCACTGTCCTCCAGACCCCAGAATTGTAGATCCACTGACAGCTTGCACCACGCACCTGGAAAAGCTACAGACACTCAATGGCAGCCCATGAAAGCAGCCAGGAAAGAGGTTGTACCCTGCAAAGCCAGAGGGGTGGAGCTGCCCAAAACCATGGGAGCCCACCTGTTGCATCAGTGTGACCTGGATGTGAGACATGGAATCAAAATAGATCATTTTAGAGCTTTAAGATTTGGGTACCCCGCTGGATTTCAAATTTGCATGGGACCTGTTGCCCCTTTGTTTTGGCCAATCTTTCCCATTTGGAACAGCTGCATTTACCAAATGCCTATACCCCCGTTGTATCTAGGAAGTAACTAACTTGCTTTTGTTTTACAGGCTCATAGGCAGAAGGGACTTGCCTTGTCTCAGATGAGACTTTGGACTGTGGACTTCTGAGTTATTGATGGGAAGGCCTGATTGGTTTGGAAATGTGAGGACATGAGATTTGGGAGGAGCCAGTGATAAAATGATATGGTTTGGCTGTGTCCCCCACCCAAATCTCATCTTGAGTTCCCACATGTTATGGGAGGGACCCAGTGGGAATTTATTGAATAATGGGGGCACGTCTTTCCCATGATGTTCTCATGATATTGAATAAGTCTCATGAGATCTGATGGTTTCAAAAAGGAGAGTTTCCCTGCACAAGCTGTCTTCTCTTGTCTGCCACCATGTGAGACATGCCTTTCACCTTCCACCATGACTGTAAGGCCTCCCCAGCCACATGGAACTGTAAGTACAGTAAACCTCTTTCTTTTATATATTGCCCAGTCTCAGATATGTCTTTATCAGCAGTGTGAAAATGGACTAATACACTTGGCATAAATGAACATCGTCCTAGTCTCTGCCTTTATTCTTACATGGCTTTCTGTGTGTGTGTGTGTGTGTGTGTGTGTGTGTGTGTGTGCATGTGTGTCCATGTCCAAATTTCTCCCTTTTATAAGGACACCAGTGATAATGGATTAGAGGTCCATTCCACTCCAGCATGACTCATCCACACTTAACTTATTAAATTTTCAATTACCCTATTTTAAATAAGGTCACATTCTGAGGTGCTGGGGATTAGGACTTTAACATATGAATTTGGGGAGGACAAAGTTTACCCATAAGATGGTTAAATACTCCCACAGCTACCTTTTCTCTTACAAACAGAGACAGCTTCTGTTGCTTCTGTGACATTGAAACACATATGGCAAGGAGGCTTCAGTTCAAGACTAAGAAATCCCCAGAAGTTAAGAAGTTAAGAGAATATGACATAAAAACAAAGAGAGTAGGAGTATATTTTAACAAGCTTACAAAGAAGACAACCACAATGACTAAGAGAATCCATGTAGAAGAATTTTTGCCACTTGCAGCTGCCCCCAAGGGGTCCACTCACTGAGCTTTGAGTGCCTGACACACTACTGTGGAATGAATTTAGTAAACTAATGAATGACTAGGGCAATCTTGCTTGACCTCTCAGGCTTATTTGCTTTAATTGTTCATTTGCTCCATCATGACACAACACTGATATTTTTTGGCTTACATGGTAATATGGTTTGACTCTGTCCCCACCCAAATTCCAGGATGAATTGTAATCTCCAATGTTCGGGGAGGGACCAGGTGGGAGATGATGAATCTTGGGGTCAAATTTCTGATTGTTTTTCTGGTGATAGTGAGTTCTCAAGAGATCTGGTTGTTTGAAAGTGTGTAGCACTTCCCCATCTTTGCTCTCTCTCTCCTGCCAGCCATGTGAAGATGTACTTTCTTCCTGTTCACCTTCAACCATGATTATAAGTTTCCTAAGGCCTCCCCAGAAGCAGAAGCCTATACAGCCCATAGAAGCATAAGCCAATTAAACTTCTTTTCTTTATAAATTACCCATTCTCAGGTATGTTTTTAGAGCAATATGAGAATAAACTCATACAGAAAACTGATACCAGAGAAGTGGGGCATTGCTATAAAGATACCTGAAAATATAGAAGCAACTGTGGAACTGAGTAATAGGCAGAGGTTGAACAGTTTGAAGAGCTCAGAAGAAGAAAGGAAGATGAGGGCAAGTTTGGAACTTCCTAGAGACTTGTAGAATAGTAGTGACCAAATGCTGATAGTGATTTGGACAGTGAAGTCCAGGCTGAGGAGGTCTCAGATGGAGATGAGAAACTTATTGAAAACTGGAGTAAGGTCACTGTTGCTATACTTTAGCAAAAAGACTTGCAGATTTTCCCCCTGCTCTAGGGATCTGTGGAAGTTTAAACTTCAGAGAGATGAATGAGGGTATCAGGAAGAAGAAAATTCTAAGCCGCAAATCTTTCAAGATTTGGCCTGGATGCTTCTAACAGCATGCATTCATATGTGTGTATAGATAGATTATCTGAGACTAGAACTTATATTTAAAAGGAAAGCAAAGCATACAAGTTTGGAAAATTTTCAGCCTGACCTCATGGTAGAAAAGAATAACCTATTTTCTGGGGAGGAAATTGGGGGAAAATGGTTTTGTGGGCCAGGCCCAGCGCCTTGCTGTTCTGTATAGTCTCAAAACGTGGAGCCCTGCATCCCAGCCCTTCCAGCTCCAGCTGTAGCTAAAAAGGCCCCAGATATGTCTCAGGCCACTGCTCCAGATGGTGCAAGCCAAAAACCTTGGCAGCTTCCACATGGTGTTAAGCATGTGGGTGCACAGAGGGCAAGAGTTGAGGCTTGGCAGGCTTTGCCTAGATTTCAGAGGATGTGTGAAAACATATGGATGTCCAGGCAGAAGTCTTCTGCAGGACTGGAGCCCTCGTGGAGAACCTCTACTAGGGCAGTGAGGAGGGGAAATGTGGAGTTGGAGCCCCCACATAAAATCTCCACTGGGGCACTGCGTAGTGAAGCTGTGAGAAGACAGCCACTTTCCTCTAGACCCCAGAATGGTAGATCCACTAACAGCTTGTACCATGTGCCTGGAAAAGCCACAGGCACTCAACACCAGCCTGTGAAAGCAGCCAGGAGGGCTGCAACCTGCAGAGCCACAGGGGTGGAGCAGCACCTGGCTTTGGGAGCCCATCCCTTGCATCAGTGTTGCATGGATGTGAGACATGGAGTCAAAAGAGATTATTTTGGAGCTTTAAGATTTAATAACTGTCTTCTTGGGTTTCAAACTAGCATGGGGCCTGTAGCCCCTTTGTTTTGGCAAATTTCTCTGTTTGAGAAATGTAATATTTACCCAATGCCTGTACCCCCATTGTATCTTGGAAGTAAGTAATTTGGTTTTGAATTCACAGGCTCATAGGCAGAAGGGACTTGCCCTGTCTCAGATGAGACTTTGGATTCAGACTTTTGAGTTAATTCTGGAATGAGTTCAGATTTTGGGGGACTGTTGGAAAGGCATGATTGTGTTTTGAAATGTGATAAGGACATGAGATTTGGGAGAGGCCGGGGTGGAATGATATGGTTTAGCTCTGTGTCCCCACCCAAATCTCATATTGAATTGTAATCCCTAATGTTGGGAAAGGGACCTGGTGGGAAGTGATTAGATCATGGAGGTGGATTTCCCACTTATTGTTCTCAGGATAGTGAGTTATCATTCATGAGATGCAGTTGTTTGAAAGTATGTAGTATTTCCTGCCACCTCCCCGCCCCCCGCCTTTTGCTCTCTCCCTCTCTTGCTGGCAATTTGAAGATGTGATTGTTTCCCCTTCACCTTCCATCATGATTATAAGTTTCCTGAGGCCTCCCCAGAAGCAGAAGCCTCTACAGCCCATAGAACTGTGAGACAATAAAACCTCTTTTCTTTATAAATTACCCATTCTCAGATGTGTTTTTATAGCAAGGTGAGACTGTTATAGAATAAGCTATAAAATTTGAATTCAAGATTAAAACTGTTATACAGATTGGATTGCAATTTTAAATATCTGAAACTTGAGAATATTTGTTGATTTAAGAATAGCCTGGAAAAATTGAGTCAGCTCAAGATTTTATCTAAGTGCATTTAAGAACAACTCAATAGAATGGGTATAAAAAGGAAATAGTAGCAAAGAACAAATGTATTTTCTGCTTATAATTTACTGAGTCAATGCCTTTAATCAACTACTTACAGTGACACGGGAGCATTTGGTATGCATAAAAATTGCAAATATTTTGTAAGACTGAAAATAGCCATATAAAAGCTATATTATATATGTATACATACTTGCTAAGGAATATATAGGTGGAGGTGGAGCATATGATCAGATTTGCCTTTTAGAATATCATTCCTTAAGAAGTATGAAGTAAAATTGAAAGAAGTTATATCTCAAAGTAGAATGACCAGTCAGAAGGCTATAGACCAACACATATGGCAACTCAACATATGTAGAATGTCACAAGTAAGTTAATATCTCCCAAATATTTGGTTCAGTGCCTTGGGCATTTACAGTCATGATCTTGTTCAACTACCATCTAAGAGCTAATAACTTGTATATTAGTTTTGACTATATTCCTCTCTCAACAATATAAAATATTGTAAATAATGGATTAAGTACTTATAGATTTATTTATCTCATCAATAATCTCATCAATAATGGATTAATTACTTATGGATTTATTTATCCTGTAAAGAAGAAACACTGAGTTAATCAATTTAGGGTGTTTTAGTGATATCAACAGAGATTATGTCTCTTTCCATTTTTCTTTTCTTCTAAGCCCAGCTTGCAGGCTATTGTCCTTCTTCTCTTGCCAATGGATACAAAATAGCTGCTGAATCTGCAGATCTTATGATCTCATTCCAGGTAGGAGAAGGAAAGGGGAAGTAGCAAAGGGCAGAAGGACAAAGGAAATGACAACCATCTTTCTCAATCAATTACACTTTCCTGAATCCCTTACCCAGCGAATTTCCAATTACATCTCATTAGGACTATGTCCTATGACATCCATAGCTTTGGTAGGTAAAAGCAAATGCAATTATATTTTCAACTTTTATCACTGTCTTGAATTTTCCCTTGGACTTCTAATCTGTATAGCTAGCTCCACCTGAATATCCCAGGGGCAACTCCAGCACCACAAATCTAATACAAACTGAATTCTCCTTCTATCCACATTTCTTCTCCTTAGATGTTCTGCAATCTAGTAAACATCTTAAGACAGAATTCTTGGTATGAGCTCAAATCTTCTTTCCACACACTATATTTAATTGATAATCAAGCCATGTCTTCTGCCTCCCAAATATTGCCTGAATTTTCTCTTTCTTTCTAATTCAAAATTTTTTAACTTAGTTTTGGCTCTTGTAGCTCTTGCTTAGAAAATTGCAACAGCCTTCTGACTGGTCATTCTACTCTGAGACATAACTTCTTTCAATTTTACCTCATACTTCTTAAGGAATGATATTCTAAAAGGCAAATCTGGTCATGTGCTCCACTTCCACCTATATACTCCTTAGCAAGTATGTATACATATATACATATAGCTTTTATATGGCTATTTTCAGTCTTACAAAATATTTGCAATTTTTATGCATACCAAATGCTCCCGTGTCACTGTAAGTAGTTGATTAAAGGCATTGACTCAGTAAATTATAAGCAGAAAGTACATTTGTTCTTTGCCACTATTTCCTTTTTATACCCATTCTATTGAGTTGTTCTTAAATGCACTTAGATAAAATCTTGAGCTGACTCAATTTTTCCAGGCTATTCTTAAATCAACAAATATTCTCAAGTTTCAGATATTTAAAATTGCAATCCAATCTGTATAACAGTTTTAATCTTGAATTCAAATTTTAAAGCTTATTCTTTTTCCAGTAAGGAGTTTTGTGATTATTGTTAGACCAACTCTACCTACACTATGAAGGATAAATATTTACAGTTTTTTGATTCAGGATATGTCTCCCATGGATAGCCCTTGCAACATGGTTCTTGATCACTAAATCCCACACTTCTACCTCAGAAATTATTTCTGTTAGGATTATCTCTCAACCCCAACTGGACCACTGGGGTAGGACCAATTTCAAGACTCAATTTTGGCTCTCTTCTGTAGGTTTTGTATCTCTACTCCATGGGATATACTTGACTTTTCCCCAGGTGTGGTGAAGGAGATGTTTATTTCCTCTGTAATTCTTTCCTCCCACTCTACAACTGGGCACATCTTCAGCCAGCTTCTTGCCTTTAAATATTTTTATTTTCAGTATGAGTTAGGTTCCAGTCCTTATGTTACTCAAATGCTAGGGAACACCTCTTGAGATTTCGAATGGTTTTCTGAAGAAAATGGTAGGAAAACTACCTACTTAACTGGGGTCTGGGGATAGATTTCCTACTCTATATTCCAGCCCTAGTGTTAAAATGAAGAAACTGAAAAGCATAGATGTAACATTTTCCAAAAACATTTATTCTATTCTACCAACCTCTTAATAAAGTTTTGATTCCCATTGTATAGTTTGGAGGAGAATGAGAAGCTATGTCAGTCTATGTCTGACATACTAACAAATCCATCCTGAAGACTCAGAAGCTTAATAGAACAAATGCATCTCTCACTTATGATTTATGTCTAATACCAATCAGCTGGAGACCCTGACCTACACAGCTACTCCAAGACCCAAGCAGATAGAGATTTAACCACTTGGTGGCTCTTTCATTTCAAAATGTGTCTGCAGATTCTCTACAGCAGGAAAAGACATAAAGTACCCCATTGCCTTAATCAGGAAGTGACAAATGTCTCTTTTTCTTCTGATCACAGTTCATTGACAAGAACTACTCATACTCTGAGTATGACATATCTGAATATGATGTATGAGTATGACACATCTGAGATATGTGTCTTTTCAATGTCTAGGGAGGAAAATACCACTAATAATCTCACCACAAAGACTAATAGTGGCCAAGCTGGTAGCCCATTGTGAGTCCAAACACCTATTTTAGAATGTGCAGGGTTTTGACACCTATTATCCTCAGCACAGAAACATCATCCAAAATCCAGAAAAGAAAAGGCATATCTAAATTGCCATCATCACTACCATTACACTTTGGGGCCTTTATTAAATAAAGCAAGGGTTACCTTAACACAAGCACTGCAATACTGCAATAGTCAATCTAATAACCAAGACAGCTACTAAGTGACTAATAGATGGGTGCTCTATATGGCATGGATATGGTGAACACAGAAATGATTCACATCCCAGGCAGGAAAGAGTGGGACAGCACAATATTTTATCACACTACTCTGAATGGCATGCAATTTTAAACTTATAAATTATTTATTTCTGGAATTCTTTATTCAGTATTTTGGACTGCAGTTGATCACTTTACGTGAAATCATGAAAAGTGAAACCACAAAGTGGAGCTATTTTATTTTTTTAAATGGCTGAAACCTTCCAAAACTTATTGAAAAATATTAATCTATAGATCTCAGACTCAATGAATTCTAATTCTAAGTAGGATAAACTTTAGAGATTCACAATTAGACACTTCATAACCAAACTGTCAAAGATGAATACAAAAACAATTTTTAATGGAGCAAAATAAGTGATTCATCACGTGCAAAACATCTTTAATAAGATTGACAACCAATTCCTCATCAACCAAGAATTCTATTTCCAGCAAAATTATCCTTCAAAAATGATGGAGAAATTAAGACATTCCAATATAAAACAAAACCGAGAAAATGTGTTACTATCAAACCTACCTTACAAGAAATACTAAGGAGTTAATATTATATTATTTCAGGCTGAAATAAAAGGACACAAGACAGGAACTTTACACATGGAGAAACATGAAGACCAATAAAGTTAACTCCATAGATAAACATAAAAACAACTTGAATACATTTATTTTTGTAACCCTTTTTTTCTTATCTGATTTAAAATGCAATTACAAGCAATAATTATAACTCTAAGTTGATGGGCACAGAATGTTGAAAGATGTCATTTGTATGATAATAATAACTCAAAGGAGGAAGGAGAAACAAAGCTCTACAAGAACAAAGTTTTGTATATAATTGAAATTAAATTGGTATTAAACTAAACTAGATCATTAAAAATTGAAATGTTAATTGCAATCCCCAGGGCACCAATAAAAAATAATGCAAAATAATATAGTAAAGAAATGACAAAGGTATGGAAATGGTACACTAGAAAATACATATTTAGTACAGAGAGGCAGAAATAGAGAAATTGAAGAACAAAAAAGATGTGACATATAGAAAAATGGCAAAATGGCAGACATTACTTCTACCTTATCAAACGATTACATTAAATATAAATAAATTAAATTCTCAAATCAAAAGGCAGAGATCAGCAGAGAGGATAAAATGTTCCAAATGTATGCCATCTATAAGAGATACAATTTATACTCAAAACTAAAAATAAGTTGAAAGTGAAATGATGAAAAATATATACCATGTAAACTGACCTAAAGGAAACTGGAGTAGCTATAATACCAATATTGAAAACAAACTTTAGAACAAAATTGTTACAAGAAACAAAGAGGAACATTTTATAATGGTAAAGGTTCAGTACATTAAAAAAATAACAATTACAAACATATGTATCTAACAAGAGTGCCTCAAATTACACGTATCCAAGACTGACGGAAACGGAGGAAGAAAAGGATAATTCAATAATAATAATTGGAGACTTCAGTACCCCATTTTTTTTTTGAGACAGAGTCTCGTTCTGTCACCCAGCCTGTAGTGAAATGATGTGCTCTTGGCTCTCTGCAACCTCCGACTTTCAGGTTCAAGTGATTCTCCTGCCTCAGCCTCCTGAGTAGCTGTGATTACAGGTGCCCACCACCACATCTGGCTAATTTTTTTGTATTTTTAGGAGAGACGGGATTTCACCAGGTTGGCCAGGCTGGTCTGGAACCCCTGACCTCAAGTGATCCACCTGCCTCAGCCTGCCAAATTGTTGGAATTACAGGTGTGAGCCATCGCACCTGGCCGTGTACCCCATTTTTAATAATGGGTGGAAATAGACAAACACCAATAAGTAAATAGAATATTTAAACACCATAAAACAACTAAACCCAATAGATATCTATAGAACACTACACCAAACAACAACAGAATATACTTTCTTCACAAGATAATTTAATTTTAAAATGGGCAAAGGATCTGAACAAATATTCCTCAAAAGAAGAAATACAAATGGACAAAAAGCATGTGAAAAGATACCTAACATCATTAGTCATTAAGGAGTGCAAATCAAAACCACAATTAGGTAACACTTCTCACTTGAATGGCTATAATAAAAAAGACAGACAACTACAAGTGTTGGTAAGAATATGAAGAAATGAGAAACTTTATATACTTCTGGTGGCATGTAAAATGGTTGAGTCATTTTGGAAAACAGTCACCCTAGGCCTCAGGCTGGTAAAGGGTATCAGAGAGGTGCTAGAGACAAATTGCTGAAGAGGTAGAAAATAGGGTAACACTCCAGAGCTAAGAAGAGCCAATGGAGTTCAGGAAATAATACGAAAACTGAGAAGGTTGGAGAAGGGATGGTTTTGGTCACATGACTCTCTCTTCCTGAGAAATCACTGTACAGCACCGAACTCCAACACTGTGGAGCTGCAAATAAGTTCATATGCCTCATGTTTCATTTTCCCACGTATCAGTTCTGGTGGGCGTTTACCAGAAAGTAAATCCTCATATACCCCAACATTTTTAGTTCCAGACTCTAGAGACACAAAAGATTACAAGTTGCTTCTGAAGAATTAGTTGCAGGAACCTCTGCATTGCCCTTTTGTCAACAAAAGCCATAGGCTTGTCTGGCTGACTCTATAAGGAGGAGAGAGGTATTCTTCCCTTGACCTACAATGGCACTCTCAAGTCATTCCTTCAACTAACTGGTCTTCTTTTCATATAGACTGGAGCTAAGTGATGGAGATTGATCATAAATTGAATGTGGCCAGAACCAGTTTTAAGAATTTTTCTGTACTTATTTTCTATTATTTCTAGCTTTAGGATTTTAGAAAAATATTTAAGAAAGCAAAAAAATGCATCAGGTTGCTTACTTCCATTTATCAAATGACTTGCTTGTTCTATCCATAATATTATTTTAGACAGAACATGAGCACATCTTTACTATTTTTAATCTTTTATTTGTTACAGCCATAATATATAATGATATCTTAAGAATTACCTTTTCTTAGTTAGATGCTATTTACTCAGAGTAGTCTTTGCTTATTAAACTATTTAAGGAACTCCTTTCTGAGTCATTCTCAGTACTACATCTTCAAGCTGTATCCTTTGAAGCAATTCAGAATCTGTAAAATAATCTTACTCATTTATTATCCGTTTATGTGCTTCTCTCCCCATTAGCATATCAATTTCATTAAAGTAGACTTCATTGTCCTTTTCATTATGTCCTAAATGCCTAAAACAATTTTGACACACAGTAAATACACAATAAATATTTCTTTAATTAATACATGACTAAATAAGAATAAAAAGCACATGGTCCAGTTTTATTGACCTAGATCTTAAATTTCTTTATCCGTTGATAGAATAGTTTTATATCCATTGCTAATTTCCAAGATGTTCCTTTTTTATTGATTTCACTTATCCTCTAAGCATTTTTGTCCAATTTTATTGTTCATAGAATATTAGGATCTAAAAAGACATTTCAGTTCATCTAGGTCACTTGCCACATTTGAAGACCACCCAGTGATCTACCAGGTAAAATTGAAAAGATTTTCATGAGGAAATTTGAACTTGCTCAGAACCAACTTTCATAGCCATCTAGGCAATGTTTTTTGGAAAGTCTGTAATCATTAGAAAGCACGGAAAATATTTGAGTCATACTTTTGCTTTATGTATTGAATCATTTTCAGATTATTTGCCTTTCAAATACCTCAAATATGACCACTTCTTTCCAGTTTTGCTAACTCCATCCTGCCTAGATTACTGCAACAGCATCCTGTCTTATTCCAGTTGTATTCTTCTCCAATTCACATTGCAGTTAGAATAAGCTTTCTGAAATAGAAATATCATGTGGTTTTCCTTATTTAAAAACATAAAATCCTCAAATATTTTCTACTAGTTCTCAGCCTAAAGTCCAAGTTTCTTAATATGGACTGCAGACATCTTCATGACTTCTCCTGTGCCCTTTATAGCTTTATTTCGAACTACTCTCCTAAACTTCTTTTACTTCCTAAGAGACTATTGTGACTCACAATCAATCTCTTTTCCCACCCTCTGTCTCTCTCACTTCCTAACAGAAATATTATTTATAAGTTAAATCATTTTCATAATTTTATTATTGAGTTGTTCATTACCAACATATAAAAATACAATCGAGTTTACATTGATCATTGATCTTCTATCCTGAACCCCTGCATAATAGTTCAAATAAGTTCATAAATTCCATAGTGTTTTCTACATAGAAAAAATTATCATTTGTGAATAAAGATAGTGTTACATATATTCCTTTCTAATCCTATAAGAGGTCTTCAAAAAGTTTATGAAAGTGTGTATTATGAAAAACTATGCATGGGTTTTTTGTATGAAAATAAATTCATACTAACTTGTTATAACATGTCTGAACAGGATCTAGTTTTAGGCATTAAAGAGGATAAGATATCACTTTGAAAACAGCCCTTAACAGAGCAACATGAATTCTGCTATAATGGACGCAGGAACAAACAAAATTTATGGTGAAGCTTAAATGAAAGAATGGTGAAATTATTGATACTTTATGGAAAGTTTATGGGAATAATGCCCCACCAAAATCAGAAGTTTACAAATAGATAACTTGTTAAGAAGGGAAAAAATGATGTTGAAGATGAAGCCTGCAGTGGCAGACCATCCACATCAGTTTTTGAGGAAAAAATTATCTTGTTCAAGTCCTAATTGAAGAGGACCAATGATTAACAGCATAAACAATAACCAACATTGTAGACATCTTAATTTGTTGATCTTCCACAATTCTAACTGAAAAATTAAAGTTGAGCAAACTTTACACTCAATGAGTGCTAAAATTGTGTCCAGATGAGTTGCAAACAAGAGCAGAGCTTTCAATGAAAATTTTAAACAGGTGGCACCAAGATCCTGAAGCATTTCTTTGATGTATTATAACAGAATATGAAACATGGCTTTACCAGTCAATCCCAAAGACAAAGCACGAAGCACTGGCTGCCAAGAGGTGGAGGTGAACCAGCCAAGAGCAAAGGTCATGACAACAGTTTTTTGGAGTTCTCAAGGCTTTTTCTTGTTAACTTTCTGGAAAGCAAATGAATGATAACACCTGCTTATAATAAGAGAGTGTTTTGAGAAAGATAGCCAAAGCTTTAACAGAACAATGCCCAGGTGAACTTCACCAGAGGGTCCTCCACCAGGACAATGTTCCTGCTCATTCCCGTTGTCAAACAAGGGTAATTTTGTGAGAATTTTGATGGGAAATCATTAGGCATCCACTTTAAAGTCATGATTTGGCTTCATCTGGCTCTTTTGTTTGTTTACTAGTCTTAAAAAATATTTAAAGGGCACTTATTTTTCTTCAGTTAATAATGTAAAAAAGACAGCATTAACATGGTTAAATTCTCAGGACCCTGAGTTTTTTAGGGATGGAATAAATGGCTGTTATCATTGCTGACAAAGAAGTCTTGAACTCGATGGAGCTTATGTTGAGAAATAAAGTTTATATATATATATATGTGCATATATATATTTTTATTTTTAATTCATTTTTTTCCACAAACTTTTTGATGTCCCCTAATATGTCTTCAACTTCTCCTTGCTTTGCTATCCTTGCTAGCACCTCCAGTACGATGTTGATTAGAAGTGGTGACAGTGAACATCCTTGCCTTATTCACAGGCATAGAGAAAAAACATTCAGACTTTCAACATTTTTTCAAAATCTGATACCTTTTATCAAGTCAAAAAAGTTTCCCTCTGTGTGAATTACCTATTGCTTCATAACAAATTTCCAAAAACTTAGGACCTTAAAACAACACATATTTATTATCTGGAGAATTGCCAATGTGCTCTTGAAAAGAATATGTATCATGCTGTTGCTGAGTGGAGTTTTCTACATATGTCAGAGAGGTCAAATTGGTTGGTAGTCTTACTGGAGTCTCTCATCCTTTCTTCCCTTCTGGTTTTGAGAAAGTAAGTGGGCATATTGGAGAATTAAGGATAACTTTTGGCCAACAGTTCACAAGAAACTGAGCTCCCAGTTCAATAACTGCAAGGAAGTAAATTCTGCTAACAACCCAAGGGAGCTTGGAAGTAGGCTCACTTGAGCCTCAGATGAGACTGCAACTGACTAACACCTGGACTGCAGTCTTGTGAGATCCTAAGCAGTGGACCTAGCTGGGACATGCCCAGATTCTTGACCTACCACAACCTGAAATAATACATGTGCAGGATATTCATATAGCTCCTGCAGCTCTCTTATGATTATGGTTTGGGCTACTGCTTGCATAGTATATCTTCTTTAATTTTTTTACTTTGAACTTACTTGTATCTTTGAATCTGAAGTGTTTCTGTTGTAGGCAGCATATAATATATCATTTGTTATCCAGTGTTACCCTGGTATGCCTTTTAACTGAAGTGTCTAGTTCATTTACATTTAAGTACTTATATTCTTCATGTCTCACTTCTCTTTTGTTCCTCTATCCCTTTCTTACTGCCTTTTCTTAGGTTAAACAGATATTTTTTAGTATATAATTTTAATTCACATTTCTTTTGTTAACCACATTTTTGAGGGGTTTCTTTGCTCTAAGAAATGCAAATAAATCTTTAACTTATTGCAATTTTATCATAATCAAATTCAGGTTAATATTGACTTGATTTTAGTGAATATAGCAGTGTTCTAAAGTTGCAAATTTCCATCCCTTGCCTAAAATCAAGTCTGCCTCCTCTGGTGGCAAAACTGCAGGTTTTGAGGTCAATTACAAGCTATTAAAATTATAGTCATCACCAACTAAATTATAGAGGAGAAGTATGAACAACCCCACAGCCCCCCAGCAAATAGGCCACAGACTACCATATTTTTACCTGATACTCTAAGAATGTTTCAACAATAAATTATTCTCAGTTTATTGTCTGTCTATAATCAACAATGAATATTGGTTTTGCCAATTTTGTCCAATTTGGTTTTTTTGGTTTTTGGTTTTGATTTTTATTGGTGAGGAAAAGATGACCAGTCTTATCACAGTACCAGAAACAAGCCCCAGCTGCACTCTTCATTTTCAACCTTATTTTTGCTCATCTTTAATCATGACTGTCAAGTATTCATGCTTATTATGTAGTGGTGGGAAAAAATCCACTCCAGAAATGAAGCTGCCACATACCCCTTACCCTAAGATGTGAAGACACCACTGTGAGTGGGTCTGCCCACTCTAGTGGAAGAAGCACTGCATGATCCAGCCAAGGGCCTGAAGATTGGCCTACTCAGAGGCCAACACCACTGGAAACCCTGCCCCCTGACAATCAGAGCTGCCACACACCCACACATACCCTTTCAGGGCCTGAGAACTGACCTGCCTGATGGCTCCTACTGCCAGAAAAGCCATGCCTCAGCCTCAAAACACCCAACCTAGGCCACTGAGGCACTTGCAGACACCACTGACATTACTTATAGCCAAAGAAATAAAATAAGACTACATTACTGTACCTACTCTAAACCAAAGTCAAAATACCCTACTCAACTATAACTACAGGAAAAAGGCTTTTCCTATGAAAGCTACTTTATAAACTTTGAAAAAATGAGTGTTCCACCATATGTGCAGATATCAACACAGGGACACTAGAAATATGAAAAAGCAAAGAAAGAGAAACATAAGACCTCCAATGTATCCCAATAATTCTTTAGTAACAGATCTCCAAGTAAAGGATATCTATAAAATGTCTCAGAGAAAATACAAAATAATAATCTTAAGGAAACTCAGTGAGATACAGGAGAACACATGTAGACAATTCAATGGAATCATGAAAACAATTCATAATGTAAATAAGAAATTCAACAAAGAGATAGATATTTTAAAAACAAGAAGAAACATTGGAAGTAAAAAATTCAATAAATGAAATAAAAAGTACAATGGAGTGTTTCAACCATAGCCTAGATTAAGTAGAAGAAAGAATGTGTGAATTTAAGACAAGTCTTTTGAAATAACTCATTCAGATGAAAGGAAGAAACAGAATTGTAAAAAGGAAGAAAACCTACATCATGTATGGAACATGATTAAGTGAAAATATGTTTTCCTTATGGGATTTATAAAAGAAGAAGATATGAGGAAAGGCATAGAAAACCTATTTAATGAAATAGTAGCTTAAAACTTCCCATGTCTTGGAAGCTACAAGTGCATTCAGATCCAGGAAGCTGAAAGATTTCCAAGTAGATTCAACCCCAAAAGGTCCTTTCTGAGCCACATTATGGTCAAACTGTCAAAAGTCAAAGACAACCAGAGAATTCTAAAAGAAGTCAAGTCACATATAAAAGAATCCTCATCACTAATAGCAGATTTCTCAGCAGAAACCTTCCAGGTTAGGAGTGAATGGGATGATATATTTAAAGTGCTGACAGATAAAAAAAAAAAAAAACCTGTCAGTCAAGAATACTATAACCAGCAAAGCTAATTTTCAAAAAAACAAATGACGCGGGGATTGACCAACTAGACAAAGGCAGGAAAAGCTTCTTCCACCAGCAGAAACCAAAATATCAAGTAAATCACCACACTTTGAACAGATCTTTTGAGAAAAACACTGAAAGGCAGTAAGAGACAACACAGACACCAAAGTTAAAGAGGGAGGAAGCTGGGAAGCCTATACAGAGTGACTGAGTGCGAGGACTGGCTCTCAGTCTTAAACAAGTCCTAAGGGTGAGTGAAGAAACTCCAGGGCACAACGCTCCTGATATGGATCTCTGGAATCCTGAATATCACAAATCCTACAACCACCATACACATTTGAATTGGCAAGGGGAACTGCCCAGAGAGTAGGCAGAGGCAGAACTTCAACTCCCACAGAGCCCAGAAGATTTAACATGTGAGGCAGGTACAGTGAAACACAATCATAGGAACCCATCCCCCGAGGCTCTCCATCTTGCTCTGAGTGACTCTAGCCTCTGCTAACTTCCTGGCAGGGATGCCTTTCCCACAGGATGGGGGAAAATCTGATCTGCATTCCCCCTCGTTTGTCAGCTCCTCCCAAGGCCCTTGCCTGGCTGCTCCTGCAAGAGGGTGCACACAGCACAGCCTCCACTGACCTGCCTAATTAATTTACCAACAGCCTGGGAGCAGTTTGACTCCTCCAGCATAGGCAATGCTTAACCCCAAGGCGCCAAAGAACAAAGATGCAGACCTGGTCCCAACCTCATAGGAGCTGAGCACACTGCCTAAGGGAATTGAGCTGAGATCTGTGGTTTGAGATAGATCAGGACAGCAACCCCCATCTTAGAACATGAGGAAGAGTGAGGCATGGGTTCATATACCAGTGCAGAAGCTAGGCATCCATACCTCTGCAAGTCTGGTCCAGAAAGAGTGTAGCCTGTTGCCAGCTGCAGCTTCTGCCTGAGGGAGCCTCATGGCTCACAACACGAGAAACAGCCCAGTGATCTGGGAGCAGAAGGTTTGGGACAAAACTAGCTGGTTAGACCTGCTCCCAGGGCAGACACTGGAGGCAGACTTAGTGTGGGAGTATAAGCTGGGCAGTTCCCACAGCCATCTACTGAGAGAAAAAAAGCTGGGCCACAGTTGCCACACTAGCTGCACACCTGCAGCGCCACCACTCTGCCCAGGGAATCCTCTACTCTTGACCCACTCTATCACCAGACTATCTGCAGACACACCCCGCAACATGCTTCAACTCTGCCAAGCACAGAGGACCAGCAGGTCCTTGGGTATTGTGGGTCTCCTGGTGACCTGAACATTGGCTTGGGCCAGCCATAAGAGAAAGGAGAGTGCAGTCTTCAAGGGCACCTCTTGGGGCTAAGAAAATGTGGGTGCAACACCAGTGATTACAGGGATGTCCCACAAAGCCCACCTGGGAACAGATTGGTGAGGGAGTTGTCTCTTGCCTCCCCATCTCCCCTCCACATGGTATTGTTGCAAACAAAATAAAATACAAAAGAGGTGTGCAACTGAGTAAAAGCTTATCTGTTGGCTCTTACTCTTAATCACCATCTACTGGATTGCAGCCTGAATGACACCACCAAACAGAAATAAATTCATTCAGCACTTATCACATGTGAAAACCAGTGCAGGAAACTAACCACAATTAAGGAAACTACAGAGACTTGGTTCTCTCAAAGCACCCAGAAACAAAGCCAAGTGACTATCTACAGTATACACCATAGTCAAACGCTCAAGGGATAAAATAAAATGAAAACAAAAAGCTTCATCCAAATGGCAGCAACTTCAAAAAGATAAAGAAACACCAGCCCTCTGAGATGAAAAGGAATTAGCAGAAGAACTGCAGCAATTCAAAAAGACAGAGTTTCCTTACCTCCCAAGGATCACACTAGTTTCCAAAAAAAAAATGGATCTTAAGCAGATTGAAATGTCTGAAATGACAGACATAGAATTCAGAATCTAGATGACAAGAAAGTTCAACAAGATTCAAGAAAAAGTTGAAATCAATGAATTCAATGAAGCCAGTAAAACAATCCAATAGCTGTAAGATGGAATAGTCATTTTAGGAAAACCCAAACTGAACTTCTGGAATGAAAAAATTTACTACAGGAATTTCAAAATAGTTAGAAGTCATAGCAGCAGACTAGACCAAGCTGCAGAAAGAATTTCAGAGCTCGAAGATTGGTCCTTCCAGTCACTCAGTCAGACAAAAGTATTGAAAACAAAGTTTTTAATGAGCAAAACTTTAGAGAAATGTGGGATTATATAAAGAGACCGAACCTGTGCCCATTGGCATTCCTAAGAAAGAAGAAGAGAGAGTAAGCAAATTGGAAAACATACTTGAGAATATAGTCCACAAAAGTTGCCCCAATATCACTAGAGAGGTTGACAAGAAAATTGAAGGAATTCAGAGAATCCTTGTACTATACAAGATGACTGCCCCAAGAAACAAAGTCCTCAGACTTTCCAAGGTCAACATGAAAGAAAAAAACCTTAAAGGCAACTAAAGAAAACAGTCATATTACTTATAAAGGGCAAAGGGAACCCCATCAGGCTAATAGCAGTCTTAGCAGAAACACTACAAGACAGAAGAGACTGGGGGCCTACTTTCAGCGTCTTTAAATAAAAGAAATTCCAATAAAGAATTTTCATATTATCCCAAACTAAGCTTCATAAGTTAAAGAGTAATAAATCTTTTCCATACAAGCAAACAATAAGAGAATTTATTACCATGAGATCAGCCTTATGAGAGATTCTTAAGAAAGTTCTAACATGAAAACGAACAATACCT